>NW_012132920.1:1917618-2141491 GCF_000001405.40 Homo sapiens | reverse complement strand
ATAGCTCTCTTCAAGCTCACTAACAGCCTCTGCCTTGCCAAATCCATGGTCAGTGTGTTGTCCTCGTATTGCTCGATCTATCACCATTTGACACACCTGATCCCTTCCCTGTTCATCTCAAAAATACTTTTTCACTACTCTTTTAGTTTTCCTGCTATCTCCCTGCCTGCTCCTTCTCAAATTCCTTTTCTCACTCCTCTTATGTGAAACCTCTACATGCTGGAACAACCCAGGGCTCTGTCCAAGGCCACCTTCTTTTATCTACTATCTCTTCATGGGTGATTTTCTCATCTCCTACATCACCCAAAAACAGGGCGAGGTTTTTTTTTCCTCACCCCAACATTATCCCTCAGAAAAGTAGGATATATCCCAGTCCTTACAAGCCTTTTCATATTAAGGGGAATGTGCTCAATTTCTTTATTTTGAACAATGTTCAAATAAATCTCAATGTTGGCTTTAGATACCTAGATATTGAACAGCTGGGACCCACAAATTAGAATGAATATCGGCTACCAACAATTGATACAGCTGTATTGGTGCACAGTGGCTGAATGTCAGCCTTATTTACAGAAGGTAACTGACAAAACAGTCTTTTTAATTAAATAAAAAGTAGGTCATGAAATTACAATGAAGATATAGTCATGATTCCTGGGAATATGACTTTGCAATTCCAGACGCCGAAAATCTGCTTTTTTTTTTCTTTTAGTTTTTATTTTGAGACAGGGTCTCGCTCTGTCACCCAGGCTGGAGTGGTGCGATCACTGCTCACTGCAACCTTTGCCTCCTGGGCGCAAGTGATCCTCCCACCTCAGCCTCCCGACTAGCTGGGACTATAGGCACACATCACTACGCCCAGCTAATTTTTCTATTTTTTGTAGAGACAAGATTTCACCATGTTGCCCAGGCTTGTCTTGAACTCCTGGGCTCAAGCAATCCACCACCTGGGCCTCCCTAAGTGCTGGCATAACAGGCATGAGCTCCTGTGCCCGGCCTGTTGAAAATCATTATAGGTGTTCATTATAAGAAAATCAAGCCTTTCATAGGTCATTTAAAGAGCAAAATGGTTAAGCGGTTACCTAAGAAGACAGTGAATCTACACCTATAGGATGAATGGGGGGAAACTGTCCTAAGGCAACCAGGTGTTCGATAATTGCTTTTGGATGACATGTCAATTAAAACCTAGATTATTGGTCTATAGTAGCCCAAATGAACCCTACTTTAGATGGAGGGGAAATGAATTAAGGATAAGTTTCACCATATGCATTTTTAGATTACATTCTTTTTTTTTCTTTTTTTTTTTTTTTTTTGAGACGGAGTCTCACTCTGTCGCCCAGGCTGGAGTGCAGTGGTACAATTTTGGCTCACTGCAAGCTCCGCCTCCTGGCATGCCATTCCCCTGCCTCAGCCTCCCGAGTAGCTGGAACTACAGGTGCGTGCTACCACACTCAGCTAATGTTTTGTATTTTTAGTAGAGACGGGGTTTCACTGTGTTAGCCAGGAAGGTCTGGATCTCCTGACCTCGTAATCTGCCCGCCTCGGCCTCCCAAAGTGCTGGGATTACAGGCGTGAGCCCCGGCGCCCGGCTAAATTATATTCTTAAAACATAAACTTTCCTAGTAAGTTCTGATGCAGTTAGAATAGGCCAGCACAGTGGCTCACGCCTGTAATCCTAGCACTTTGGGAGGCTGAAGCAGGTAGATCACCTGAGGTCAGGAGTTTGAGACCAGCCTGGCCAACATGGTGAAACCCCATCTCTACTAAAATACAAAAATTAGCTAAGTGTGGTGGTGGACACCTGTAATCCCAGCTACTCCGGAGGCTGAGGCAGGAGAATCACTTGAACCCAGGAGGTGAAGGTTGCGGTGAGCCGAGCTCACGCCATTGCACTCCAGCCTGGGCGACAAGAGTGAAACTCTTGTCTCAAAAAAAAAAAAAAAAAAAAAAAGAATAAAAGGTTATTTATAAATAGTAAGTGGCATAGAAAAGCTAAGTGATACATAATACATTTTCACAAACACTCTAATATCTTAGCTTAAATATTCTTTTATCCAATATTTGTTTTCAAGAGACATGGTCTCACTCTGTTGCCAATGCTGGAGTGCAGTGGCAATGAGCATAGCTCACTGCAGCCTCAAACTCCTAGGGTCAAACAATCCTCTGCCTCAGCTTCAGAGGTAGCTGGGACTACAGGTGCACACCACCTTGCCCAGCTGATTTTTCTTTAAAATTTTTTTTATACATGGAGTCTTGCTTTGTTGCCCAGACTGGTCTCAAAATCCTGGGCTCAAGCGATCCTCCTGCCTCGGGCCTCAAAATGCTGGGATTATAGGCATGAGCTACTGTGCCTGGCCAATATTTTTTTAACAAACAAAAAAAAGTCAAAATTATTACTGAATTGGTAAGTCAGTATATTACTTAATCTGAGTTGTGGCAAAAGAATTCACATAGAACTGAAAACTGACTTAACAGAACAAAAATTTTTTGTGATTTCTAACATTTACTCATTACTGGACTTTAAAATTCAATCCTGGGAATGAGTACAAATTATAAATTTAAAATATGTAAAAGTTAAAAAAATATTTTTAACATTATGAGAGATTAAATCATTTGCTGGTTTGAAACAATTATGTTTTAATCAACTATTTCTTTTAAACTCTCTAAAACCAGTTTGAAATGCTTACTCTCTTCTTCTTCATTTCCCTGGCTAGAAGGCTCACTGCAGCCTCCACCTCCTGGGCTCAAGCAATCCTCCCACCCCAGGCCCCTGAGTAGCTGGGACTACAAGTGTGCTCCGCCAAGCTAATTTTTCTATCTTTTGCGACAAGGTCTCACCATGTTGCCCAGGCTGGTCTTAAGCTCCTGGACTCAAGTGATTTGCCCACCTCGGCCTCTCAAAATGCTGGGGTTACAGGCATATGCCACTGCACCCGGCCTTCTTCATTTCAAACTCTGCTTACCTTGGAATGTGTCCATATTCTGGTACAGCAGAATGGGGCAGTGCATTAAAAGGTACTCCAAATATTTTACCCTAAAATGACAAATTCAGTTACTCTAACACAAATATTAGGCATAATATCAGTTTTCTTAAACTTTAGGCAAATTAAAGAACTCAGGAAATTAAAAAAAAATCAGAAATAAATGATAAACTATCTATCAAGACAAAAATAATCATTTCAAGTGCATTTGATAACAAATAATTACTATATTAGACAGTATGCTGAGTGCTGGGAGTACAAAGATGGCCAAGATAATGTCATTCCCCTCAAATAATCTAGTAAACTCAAGTTTCCAATCTGATCATAAAGTCAATTTGGTTACTGGTTAGTCAGTAAATTCTTAAAACAGAATTTGGTCCAAAACACTAACATTTACCCCAAAATACTATAGGTTGCTTTAATGACCTTATAAATACTTACTAGATACTTTCTTTTGGTCACCTTATAAATACTTACACAAAAGACTAAGTCAATTGAAAAGCAAAACACTAATTCCTGTCATTCATTGAGTCTTCCTAAAATTACATCAGAAGTTATTTTTATACCTAATACATTTTCCACCTTCTATAGAAGAGTGCTTTTCAAACCATGCCCTGCGGTAAGCAAGGCAGGAGTGTGCAAATATTTAAGTCAAACTTCATTTAACTAGCTGGAAACCCATTTTTAAAACCTCACATTCAAATTTTAATACACTGAAGATCCCAAGAGTAAAGCTGTGTGTTGGTTAACTTGAATGTTTTTGCACACTGAAGAATAAAGAATCTGCCACTATCTTTGTGCATGCATTCGAACCTCTTAAAAATGTGTCGCTTTCCACAGCACTGAAAGGTAAATTCAAGCCTGTAAATGTCTGGTTATTCAAACTTAAGTGGGTATGCATAATCTCACATGTTAATTTAGTTTACATGCATCTGCTCTGTGAATGCTGAAGTACTTTTTTTGATGTCACAAGTTATCAACCAAGAAGTATTTATGTTTTATGAGCATTATATTTAACTTTATATTTACAATAAAAACCACTCAGCATTGTCAATGACGCAACACAGTAACAAAATTTTACTAATTCCCTTTCAAGCACCTGGCTCCAATTAATTTACAAATATTGTAAGCTGAAAAGACAGTATAGTATAGTAAGTGCTTAAGAGAGTAGGCTCCTGAAGGCAAAAATGACAGGTGTATTTTTTTTGAGAGGGAGTCTCACTTTGTGGCCCAGGCTGGAGTGCAGTGGCGCAATCTCGGCTCACTGCAAGCTCCGCCTCCCGGGTTCACCCATTCTCCTGCCTCAGCTTCCCGAGTAGCTGGGACTACAGGCGCCCGCCACCACACCTGGCTAATTTTTTTGTATTTTTAGTAGAGACGTGGGGCGGGGGGGGGGGTTTCACCGTGTTAGCTAGGATGGTCTCGATCTCCTGACCTCGTTATCCACCCGCCTCGGCCTCCCAAAATGCTGGGATTACAGGCGTGAGCCATCGCACACACAAAAATGCCAGGCTTTACATCTTAACTCTTGCTTAACAGCTGAGTGACCTGGATCAAATTAACATTCTGTTCCTCGGTATCCTCACACAGATCCTAAGTCATAGAGGTGTAGGAAGAATTAAATAAATTAAAACATACAAAACACTTGTATCAGTGTCTGACACACAGTAAGCATTCAAAAAATATTTGTTAATATTATGATCATCATTTTAAGCTGAACTATTTTTAAAAATGTTAGTATGGGCAACCCCTTTATTGGGTAAATCAGAATTTTCTTGATACTGTGCAGCCAAACCAAATGTAAAAATAAACCAGATACTTAAGCTGGTAAGTCTACTTCTGCTATATATAACTAGAATTCAGCGTGTTTTTTTCCTTAAGTCTTATTATTTAGAATAACTGGCCTCACAAGTAACCACTATAATTTAATCTCATAAAATGTTTTTAAAACTTAAAACTACAGTTAGCTAACAAACACCAGTCGGCTAAAGAAATTGTTTTCAAACAAACTATCCCATTAGATCTCCTAACACAATGATCTTCTATATTTCTTCATTAGAATATTCTTATAAGTGTTTCTAGCTGAATTTATATGGCATGATTACCAATTAGGAGGCAGACCAATGATATGACAACTATCATTAGATGAAGAAGTGGCATGTTACCCGCACTGTGCTAGGCCTACATAAAGAGCTTCACTTTTTAAAAATCCCTAAATAATCCAAGGAGAAATACGTTCCCACTTTATATATATAAAACTGAAGCTTAGGGAAATCAAACAAGCAGCCCAAGTTTACAGATGTAGTAGGGGTGGAACAGCACTCAAACTCAGGTCTATCTGACTCTGAAAACAGGCAACAGTTTTTCTTGTTAAGCGGTGAAAAGGCCGAGTGCAGTGGCTCACGCCTGCCATCCCACCACTTTGGGAGGCCGAGGCGGGCGGATCACGAGGGCAGGAGATCGAGACCATCCTGGCTAACACGGTGAAATCCCGTCTCTACTAAAAAATACAAAAAATTAGCCAGGTGTGGTGGCGGGCGCCTGTAGTCCCAGCTACTCGGGAAGCTGAGGCAGGAGAATGGCGTGAACCCGGGAGGCGGAGCTTGCAGTGAGCCAAGATCGCGCCACTGCACTCCAGCCTGGGCGACAGAGGGAGACTCCATCTCAAAAAAAAAAAAAAAAAAAAGGAAAAGAAAAGAAAAGGGGTGAAAAAAAGTCCATATACAAACTCTTCCATATACTTACAAAATCAGCTACATTTGAGATCTTGGAAAGCCAGTTTTACAATCAGAAAAAAATCACTGTAGCTTTTTAAATGTAAGTACATGTATTGCCATTAATTTGCTACCAACAAAAATAACTTCTCCAAAGTTTATCAGCGATTAAGAGGCACACATATTACTTTTGTTAGTGGTTTTCTTCTCCAAGCACTTTTTTTAAGAAACCATAAACTATTAAAAGCAACGTATATTAATTTTATTAGCTTGTCTCCAAGTACTAGGAAGTACCATATAAATTAGGCACATAAATTTAAAATAAAATGCTTTACATTCAGCTTATTTTTCACAATGGAATTCCTGATTATGTGGCAGAGCTATTAAAATCTCATTCAAAATCCCTTTATTTCAACCACCAAAACATCAACAACTTCTCAATTATTCCACTCTGGCTTCTCAATTTACTCATACAAAAAAAAATTTACTGTCCCAAAAGTATGACATGGCCAAGCAGCAAATCTGTTTCCCAAATTAGTGAATATGCAGTCATCATTTGAAGCCTATTTCTAATGTTCTGTCATACTTCTTCATCTACAGATTCATGTAGAAAATGCACTGGTCTCCCTTGTCCCTCTACAACCTTACTCTAAAACAAGGGTGGAGGGGTAGAGTTTTTGTCCCTCCCAACGTACTACCTGTTCCAAATACAGTAAGCTGGCAATATCCGGAGACATTTTTAATTGTCACAACTGAGAGATGCTACCAGCATCTAGTGGGTAAAAGACAGACATCCCGCTAAACATCCCACAATTCACAGAACAGCATTTCGTCTTCCCCTAACAAAAATTATCTAATCCAAAATGTCAATAGTGCTGAAGTTGGAAAATCCTGCAACTTTCTCTCAATGATCAAAAATCCTTGGGGGAAAAAAAACAAGAATGTCACTTTTTAAATATCAGCAATCGACCATCTGAACTGAATTACACACCTAACCATTCTTTTTGATACACAGAGTGAACATTTTAGCACGATCTGGTAGTAAGTGATGATAAAGGGTGTGCCCTTTCTTTTAAACCTAAATCCCTTTTCACAGAACTTACCCCTATTTCCGTGGCTGCTGTTTCATGTCTCCTGCGATCGCACTGCCCACGGACACCCTTCACCTTAATACCATAGAAGGCCCGCAGATGCTGCAACAGGGCCAACCTCACCAGCCTCTGATCCCACATTCCGGATACGTCGATAACTCTCTGAGGCAGGATGCAGGTCCTGACCCTCGTTCGCCACCAAGTCTTCCAATTTCCAAACGCTCTCAAATTTGAACTCCGCTCGGCTGCTTTCCGGCCCCGTCTGGCACTTCTGCGGCCCCGACCCCCGGCCACTTCCACGGCTTTTCCTTGATCCTCACTCACATCCACTTACACAGACCCGCTTCTCTTAGCCCTTTGATCCAGCCACACCTCACTCTTCCTTCACTTACACCGACCTTCTTTCTGGTCACCCAATGCTTTCAGCTACTCACATAGACTTCTTTCTGATTCTTTCGGTTTCTCGTCTATTGCCAGATTCTCTCCACTTCTTGCTACTTCCAACGATCCCCCTTCCTCCAAACCTTACTGTCCCCGTCTGGTTCGCTCTGAAATGTGAAGAAAACCCTTCTCGCTCCTCCAGCCCCAGCAGGCTCAACTGGGCGCTCGCCCCCGCCCTAGCCTGGCCGCCGGACCAGCCGGCTGCTCAGGCAACTCTTCCAGTCCCGGTGCCCGCCCGGGCTGGTAGCCGCCGTCACCCCGTCTCACAGGCTGCTCGTTCCCTCCCCCATCAGCCTGCCTCTACCTCCCGGCCTGCACATCCCGGTGCGTTCACTGAAGCCAAGCCGTTAGCCTCATGCTTCCGCCCCCAGCTCCTCCGCAGACACCCAGAGCCACCACGGGGGGGTCACACCCGCAGTTTCAGCCCAGGCTCAAATGGCAGCGCCAAACAGCGCTCCACATCTGATTGGTCCACTCCTCTTTTCAAAATCAGGACCCCGGAGGGTGGCCGAGAGCTGCCTGTCTAGATAAGTGCGGGCGAAGGGGTGTAACGGGCAAACCCAGCAAACATGAAAAGCAGGATGAGTTTCACTTGTTCCTTCAAGGCCAGTTTTTGGGGCGGGGGAATACTGTTTAAAGGTTTTTAAATACACCTGACCTGCGCCTCAGACCATTCACAGTATTTGAGGAAATATAAAAGACAACTTATTCCCGTTCTTTTCCGAGCTCGGCTGTCGCTGAAGGCCCTCTTATGAAGAAACCGTTCTACGGAAGCCCAGATGAGACAACTTGAGACAGGATTCAGAAACGCTGATTTTAGTAACCTTAACCCTCGGCCCTTGGTGGGAACTTCGGCTCTGTGGGAATTAGTCTTTGGGGGACTGATGGTGATGCTGAAATCTTATTGCGTAGGAAATTAAGTACAACAAAGAAGACCCGTCGTGAGAGGAGAGTGCGGAAGAAATGCGAAGTCTACGGGAGGTGGCAGCTGCAGAAGCTTGGTGTTGGATTTGGCGTTAGGAGACCGGGAGGAGCCCAGCTTCCGGTCCAGACGGTTATCTTGTTGACTTGCACGACTGCAAACGCCCTGAGCTGCTTTTGCAGTCTGAAACATCAGCGATCCCATCAAAATATTCTGTTTCTTGGGATATAAGAAACATCCCAAGGCGGGCTGTAGAGCGAGAGATTTGGACTCGATTTAAATACAGACAAAATAGTATGCATTTACTAACACCACATCTCACCCCCACGAAACTTGGTAAGGGCAGCAACAGAACTTTATCTGCCATATGCACTCCTGTATTCCTATTACCAAATAGTGCCAGGGACTAAATGAATATTTGTCCAATGAATGAGTTTTAAGTAGGAAACGTTTGCATAGAATCATTTTGTTTCTTTTGGAGTTCAAATCTTCGGATATTTTACCCTTCCCAATCCAAAGAAAAGTCTCTGAGTGAAGAGATGGGAACAAAATGTAAGTTAAATATGTTGCTTTAACAACTGTTTATTGAACTCGTGCTATAGACTATAGAATGATGAGCAAAACCAGGCACAGTTTCGGCCCTGGAAGAGGAAAGGCAGGCATATATTTATCAAGTAAGTACATTAATGGCGGCACTTATCAGTTGAGAGAAGTGCGCTAAGGAAAGGAATATGATTCTATGATAGCGTATAATAAAAGATCCTTGACCGGGGAGGGGAAACGTACCAGTGATTAACTGATCTGAAGAATCAGTATAAATTGACTTTGTAGAAAGTATAGGTGGATGGCTGAGTGGGACCATCATTCAGGAAGCAAATGCCTGCAGAAAAAAACATCAATTTTAACAAGAAACGGTGTATCAGAGATGAAACTGAACCTATTCCTTGTCTTTTCTTCTTGCTTCAGACATAACTTTAAAAAATTGCTTACGCTGTCTTTAGCCACATCTCTTCCCCAAACTCCACACTGTTCGGCGTTTTAGCCGTCTCAAATTTCCTTTTCTTAAAGACCCATGACAATCTTCAGTGTTGTGTCTTTTTCTACGTCGTGATCCTTTTTTAAAGCTGAGCTCTTCTTGTTTTTCGTCTCCTTTCTCTCTTTTTTTTTTTTTTTTTTTGTGACGGAGTCTCGCTCTGTCGCCCAGGCTGGAGTGCAGTTGCACAATTTCGGCTCACTGCAAACTCCACCTCCCACGTTCAAGCAATTCTCTGCCTCAGCCTCCCAAGCAGCTGGGATTACAGGCGTCTGCCAGCAGGCCCGGCTAATTTTTGTATGTTTAGTAGAGACGGTGTTTCACCATTTTGGCCAGGCTGGTCCTGAACTCCTGACCTCGTGATCCACCCGCCTCGGCCTCCCAAAGTGCTGGGATTACAGGTGTGAGCCACCACATCCGGCCCTTCCTTTCTCTTAAGATGAAAATATTGGTTCTTTTTTCCTACACACAAGGAGGCAATGAAAATATTGGTTCTTTTCATTGCCTTATTATTAATGTTACTATTAATAAATATTAATATTAACATAATGGTTATTTGCTTCATCTACCTATATTCACAGGTATATAAACACAACAATAGCAATAACAGGATAAAGAATAAAAACAGAATAACAATAGAGATATTGCTAACAGATAAATGAAGTTTAACTTTGCATGTACTTCCTTTTTTCTAAAATTGTATCCAACTAAGGATGTAAAATCAAGATACTGTGTTTTAAATGAACTGGGCATAATTATTCTTTTTGGTTATATATGGATGTACTGTAGTTTATTTAGCCAGGCCCTTACTAGTGGATATGTGGACTATTCCCAGTCTTTTGCTATACAAAAGTTTCCTTGTGCATATATAATATGCTTTTGCCAGTGGGTCTTTAGCATAGATTTCTATAAATGGGATTGTTAGGTCAAAGGGTAAAAGAACATGTTATTTTGTTTAATTCTGCCAAATTCCCCTTCATAGGGGTTGTGCAGTTTTGTATTCACACCAGCAGCATTTCCTGTTTCTCTGCAGCCTCTCCAATAGAATGAATTGTCAAACTCCTAGATGTTTGCTAAATCGATATGTGGGAAATGTTATCAAAGTGTAGTTTTTTTTTTTTTTTGAGACGGAGTCTCACTCTGTTGCCCAGGCTGGAGTTCAGTGGCTCTATCTTGGCTCACTGCAACTTCTGCCTCCCAGGTTCAAGCGATTCTCCTGCCTCAACCTCCTGAGTAGCTGGGACCACAGGCAATCACCACCACGCCTGGCTAATTTTTGTAATTTTAGTAGAGACAGGGTTTCGCCATGTTGGCCAGGCTGGTCTCGAACTTCTGACCTCAACCTATCCACTCACCTCGGCCTCGCAAAGTGCTGAGTTTACAGGCATGAGCGACTGCGCCCAGCCTCCAGTATAGTTTTGTATTTATCTTTTTGTCAATGAAGTGGAACATTTTTTCAAATGATGCATGCTTACGACAAAGTATTATGAAGCTGTTAAGGAATGTGGAAGATATATGACTATGATGTGAAGTGAAGTGAAAAAGCAAGGCATAAAAGAGTGTATATAGTATGCTGCCTTTGGTATACGGGGTGGTAGAGATACATATACAAATGGATACTTACTTATATTTTCAAAAATAAACAATAGAAAGGTAAACCAAAATCTAATAAAAATGGTAAACAATAGGAGAAGATCAAGAACAGGTGAAGTAGAAAATAGGAATGGAAGCTAGACCTCTCTGAATATATCTTGTTTTATATATAAACTTGGAACCCTGTAAATGTGTAACATGTTTAAAATACAAAATAAGGTGGTGGCTCACGCCTGTAATCCCAGCACATTGGGAGGCCAAGGTGAACGGATCACCTGAGGTCAGGAGTTCGAGACCAGCCTGGCCAACGTGGTGAAACCCCGTCTCTACTAAAAATACAAAGATTAGCCATGCGTGGTGATGCATGCCTGTAATCCCAGCTACTCGGGAGGCTGAGACAGGAGAATCGCTTGAACCTGGGAGGCGGAGGTTGCAGTGAGCCAAGATCCGGCCACTGCACTTCAGCCTGGGTGACACAGTGAGACTCCATCTAAACAAAATAATAATAAATAAAATAAAATAAAATAAAATGTAAAAGCAACTCCTAAAATGGAAAACAAAGTGCAATAAATCAATCTTTTCACCTGTTTAAGGGCTATTTGTACTTCTTTTTATTTAAATTGTCCATCTTTTACTTTCAGGATGGTCTTTAAAAATATTTTAGAAGCTTTTTATATATTAGTCCCTCATGATATAAGCTACATATATTTTTTAGACTTTTTGCCTTGCTTTTTTGTTTGTTTAAATTATAGTTAATCTCTTCCCTTAATGCTTCTGGATTCTGATCATAGATAGGAGTATTTTCCCCACTTCTGAGTTATAAAGGTATTCACTCTTGTGAATTCTAGTACTTAATTTTCTAGTACTGCTATGTTTTCATTTGTTAATGTTAGATCTCTGAGGCTGGAGTGCAGTGATGCGACCTCTGCTCACTGCAACCTTCACCTCCCGGGTTCAGATGATTCTCCTGTCTCAGCCTCCTGAGTAGCTGAGACTACAGGTGCATGCCACCACACCTGGCTAATTTTTGTGTTTTTAGTAGAGACGAGGTTTCGCCATATTGGCCAGGCTGGTCTTGAACTCCTGACCTTAGGTGATCTGTCTGCCTCTGCCTCCCAAAGTGCTGGAATTACAGGCGTGAGGCACCGCGCCCGGTCCTTAAATTTGGAATTTATCCAGTGTAGAAAGAATGGATCCAATTTTATGTGTTACCCCACACAGCTATCCAGCTGTAGATATTGTAATTTTATTTCATTTAGTGAACTCCCACACCTACTTCTAAAAGTAGGAAAACACTACTGAAAACCTCACTGAGTTCCCTGACGATGAAAAGGGAAATCTTTCGTTAAGCATTAGGCTTTGCTTTTAGTGCCACTAGATGGCACACATCCTTTTCCTTAGATGTTAGTTCACCTAGCCCTCATTTCTGTGAAATCAGTCCATAAAGTGTCTGCCAAAGGGCCTTCCTGAACCTTTTACCTGCATCCCTGCTTGAAATAAGATGATTTGTGCAACTTTCAAATTAGGTCCGAGTTTTTTTCTGTAAAACCAAAATGATTGTTCCTAGAATCACTGCTTCTAGGGCCTGGCACATTCCACAGACACATTGTTCAATTTATTTATTTATTTATTTATTTATTTATTTATTTATTTATTTGAGACGGAGTCTCGCTCTGTCCCCCAGGCTGGAGTGCAGTGGTGTGATCTCGGCTCACTGCAAGCTCTGCCTTCCGGGTTCACACCATTCTCCTGCCTCAGCCTCCCCAGCAGCTGGGACTATAGGCGCATGCCGCC
The DNA here is from genome assembly GCF_000001405.40 of Homo sapiens. NCBI lineage: Eukaryota > Metazoa > Chordata > Mammalia > Primates > Hominidae > Homo > Homo sapiens. Next base: position 2,128,928 of record NW_012132920.1, on the reverse strand, counting down.
ACGCCCGGCTAATTTTTGTATTTTTAGTAGAGACGGGGTTTCACCGTGTTAGCCAGGATGGTCTCGATCTCCTGACCTCGTGATACGCCCGCCTCAGCCTCCCAAAGTGTTGGGATTACAGGCGTGAGCCACCGCACCCGGCCACATTGTTCCATTTATTAATAAAACAGAAATGTCTATCATATTCTGTCCTAAATGTGGACTAAGATGGAAAATAGTACAGTGATTTCCTGAGGTCACTGGGCTATCACCAGAATAGTAGACACTGTGGTGCTTCACCTAGATCCCCCTCCAGGCTGAGGTGCTCACTCGCCCCACTTGCAGAAGTGTTGGTTCCTCATGGCTCACAACAAAGTCCCCCTCTGAGAGCTGCTCCATGAAAAGGACCTGCCTCACCCCAAGTGATGCCTTCCTCTGGGCAGTCTACATTCCATGCCTGGTTAATATGGGGTTTCATAGGCCTGGTCCCCATATCTCAAGACAACGGAAGGACCTCCCAGCTCTAGAGCTTCCTGAAGGAGCAGCTGAGATGGTGGCAACTGTTTCACAGGCTGCCCAATCCTGTTTCTTTTACTCCTTTACTTGTGTTGTTCCAAGAGCCTTCCCAAGTAAGCCTCCTGTGGGGAAATCTCCATCTCAGTACCTGTTTTTCAGGCAACCCAACTTAAGATACAGGGCCAGTGGTTTTCCCTAAACAGTGCTCTAAACTAGAGCCTTGATATTCAAATACGGCATAGGTATCGCCTGGAAACTATAGCCATGTGTCTCTTAATGACAGAGATACCTTCTGAGAAATGCATTGTTAGGCAATTTTGTCATTGTGCAAACATCATAGAGTGTACTTACATCAGCCTAGATGGTGTAGCCAACTACACACACACCTAGTTATGTGATATAATCTATTGCTCCTAGGCTACAAACCTGTACAGCAGATTACTGTACTGAATACTGTAGGCAATTGTAACACAATACCAAGTATTTATGTATCTTAACAGATTTAAAATTTATGATATAACATTTAAATTTTTTTCTTTTTTTTTTTTCTTTTTTGAGATGGAGTCTTGCACTGTCACCAGGCTGGAGTGCAGTGGCACAATCTCAGCTTACTGCAACCTCTGTCTCCCGGGTTCAAGCGATTCTCCGACCTCAGCCTCCCGAGTAGCTAGGACTATAGGCGTGCACCACCACGCCCAGCTAATTTTTGTATTTTTAGTAGAGATGGCGTTTCGCCATGTTGGCCAGGGTGGTCTTGATCTCTTGACCTTGTGATCCGCCCACCTCGGCCTCCCAAAGTGCTGGAATTACAGGTGTGAGCCACTGCGACCGGCCACAGATTTAAAATTTTACCTGCGTAGGGTACTTATGAGTGGAGCTTGCAGGACTGGAAGTTGCTCTGGGTGAGTCAGTGAGTGGTGAGTGAATGTGAAGGCCTAGGACCTTACTGTACATTGTTATAGACTTTATAAACAGCATATACTTAGGCTACACTAAATTTATTAAAATTTTTTCCTTCAGTAATAAATTAAGGTTAGCTTACTATAACTTTTTAATTTCATCAGCTTTTAAATTTTCTTAACTTTTGACTCCTTTGTAGTAATAGCTCAAAACACAAACACATTGTACAGCTGTACAAAAATATTTTCTTTCCATATTCGGTAGGATTTTTTTCTATTTTTTTTACATTTTAAACTTTTTTGTTAAAAACCAAGACATGGCTGGGCCTGGTGGCTCACACCTATAATCCCAGCACATTGGGAGGCCGAGGCAGGTGGATTGCTGGAGTCCAGGTGTTTAAGACCAGCCTGGACAACATGACGAAACCCCGCCTTTACAAAAAAATATGAAAAATAGCCAGGCATAGTGGCACACACCTATAGTCTCAGCTACTTGGGAGGCTGAGGTGGAAGGATTGCTTGAACCTGGGGAGCAGAGGTTGCAATGAGCTGAGATCGCACCACTGCACTCCAGCCTGGGCGATAGAGCGAGACCCTGTCTCAAAACCAAACAAAACCAAACAAAACCAAAATGAAGATACAAACTCACACATTAGCCTAGGCCTGGGCAGGGTCAGGATCATCTATATCCACTGGTCCCATAAGATTATAATGGAGTTGGGGCCCGGCGCAGTGGCTCATGCCTGTAATGCCAGCACTTTGGGAGGCCAAGGCAGGCGGCTCACGAAGTCAGGAGATTGAGACCATCCTGGCTAACACGGTGAAACCCAGTCTCTACTAAAAAATACAAAAAAATTAGCCAGGCGTGGTGGTGGGCGCCTGTAGTCCCAACTACTCAGGAAGCTGAGGCAGGAGAATGGCGTGAACCCGGGAGGTGGAGCTTGCAGTGAGCCCAGATCGTGCCACTGCACTCCAACCTGGGCGACAGAGCAAGACTCAGTTTCAAAAAAAAAAAAAAAAAGATTATAATGGAGTTGGAATGTTCCTATTGCCTAGTGATGTTGTTGACGTAGTAGCATCACTGTAGCACAGTGCATTACTCACATCACATATTTGTGGTGGTCTGTGGGGAGCTATTCCAGAAAAAAGCCTTGTTATCATAGGAGATGATAGCTCCTTCTGTGTTATTGCACCTGAAGACCTTCCAGTAGGACAGAATGTGGAGGTGGAAGACAGTGATAGATATATATGTAGTCCATTGTTGACCGAAACATTGCTATGTGGTGCATGAAAGGAAGTAAATCAGGGCCGGGCGCAGTGGCTCACGCCTGTAATCCCCGCACTTTGGGAAGCCGAGGCGGGTGGATCACGAGTCAGGAGATCAAGACCATCCTGGCTAACACAGTGAAACCTCGTCTCTACTAAAAAATACAAAAAATTAGCGGGGCGTGGTGGCGGGCGCCTGTAATCCCAGCTACTCGGGAGGCTGAGGCAGGAGAATGGCGTGAACCCGGGAGGCAGAGCTTGCGTGAGCGGAGATCGCGCCACTGCACTCCAGCCTGGGCGACAGAGCAAGACTCCGTCTAAAAAAAAAAAAGAAGTAACTCAGGCCCCACCCTAGACCTACTGAATCAGAATCTGCATTTTTATGATTCTCAATGATTCTCTTATGATTCTCATTTTATTTTTATTCCATGACTTTTAAAAAAAAAATCCCGTAACTTCTTTTTCATAACTTCTTTTGTAACTTTTCATAATACTGTTTTCTACTTTTTTCCCACAAGTTTTTTTGCCACAACGTTTTTACATTTTTTATCCCATAACTTTTTCACCCCATAACTTCTTTTAATCCCATAACTTTTTAAATCTTGTGTTAAGAAACACTTGCATAGTTATATTACACCTTTGTAAAAATGAAACACATTATCTCATGCCAAGCATGCCCAGCATTTGCACAGTATCAATACCTTTAATACTATAGTTTTCAAGAAACGCAAAATAAAATTTTAAGGCAAAAACAACACATTGAAACAATTTAATAATTTATTACATTACAGTGGCATCACACCAGCAGTCAATAAGGCCACTCTAGGGAAAAATCTTTCAGTATTTCCATGACACATTCTGTTTACAATAATTCATAAACTGGTAAAATTCATTCTAAGAAAACTTGGCAAATAAAACTTTGGACTGGAATTGGCATTTCTTTCTCTGCTTTTCGTTCCCACCATTTCTTTCTTTTATACTACAGTATTCATATTTTAAAATGTTTTAAATTATTTCAGAACATTAAGATAGCAGTTACATTTTTTAATAGTTATATTATTTTAAAATGACTAAGATAAAGTTTTAGAGAAACTATATTATGGATAGGGCTGATTTACATTTTCAAATTTTCTGAAATCAGCTTTGGTTTTAGAGCTGATTTTTTTTTTTTCATTTCTGGAAAATTAGGTTGAATCAAATACTTTTAAAATGATTATTATATATTGCCATCTTTAAATAGGTGTTTTGATTCTTCCTACAGACATTAAAATGTATTCAGTGGAACTCACAGTTTAAAATTCTATGTTTCTGATGAACTCTAACATTCCAATGTTGCCTTCTAAGCAAACTGAAAGCTTCCTTATACTGAATGAGGAAGAGTACAAATACTCGGCTGAATGAGGTATCGCAAAAGACTGCATGCACTTTGGAGAAAGACTTAAGTTATTGTCATACAATTTCCATTCTTTTTAGCGTTTTCTTAAATATATCACAAATACCTACACAAAGAGTGGTATTTCAGTCAATATAGTAAATTTATTTTCCAGACTGACCTTCAGCTTAAATATGCCAGTGTGTGATTTAATCCATAGGCACCTCATGAACACATTATTGTCAGATTGGTTACAGATGCTAAACGCTATCCGAAGGTCATTCCTAGTCACTGATATTTATCAGGGTAAAAGTGAAGTGATTTCAACGATAAAAGTACCTTTGCAATAATTTATCAATGTATTAGATAAACCCAGTTTCAGAATGATAAAAAAAAAAAGTTAGACCAAATAATGTGGCTGATTAACAGTGGTCCGATTTCTAGCCCGAGGGTTTAAAATGCTCTTAAAGTAACTGTCTTTAAACTGAACTCAAAGAATGCAAAAGCGGCAAGTTCAGAAAATAAAAGGCGAGAACAGGACTTTAAGTGCATTTTAAACCCACGGGCTACAAATCGTACCACTGTTAATTAGCCGCATTATTTGGTCTAACATTTTTTCTTTATCATTCTGAAACTGGGTTTATCTAATACATTGATACATTCATAAAATTTGGAAGAGTCAGTGGAAGTCACAAGGACCGAATATTTGCACTCTTTCAGTGAATGCCAGCAAATCTGTTATTCCATCGGTAAAATCGTATTGTTGCTCTCCTGTTAATGTCATATTTATAGAAGTATCATGAGGATGCCAAATGCTAAAAATGGAGATGATCTAGTAACTAGAAATCCCCACCGCAGGGAGCACACACACCTATCTCCCTGCATCCTAACAATGTGATGTGTTTTGGAACACAGACATTAGAACTTCATGAAGTTTTAACTGTTGAGTCTTTCCCAAGCATCATCAAGTTACGATTTAGGCAATACATAACTGAAATGCATTCATTCATCATGCATAGGCACAATCACATAAATATCGCACAAAATATGTCCCGAACAGAAACCCAGAGGTACAAAAACATATTTCACTTTGTAAAGAAGTTTGTGAGAAAATATAACTCTGTGGTTGTATAGACACGTTTCCTGATAATACATTGACATTCACGAACAACAGTAGATTGCACTGCAGTTTGTACACATTTTAAGTTTCATAAACTTCTCCTTGATTTTCAAAGATAGTATAATACCATCTACTAAAACTCCTTTTTGTTTCAACTATCTCACATATATTAGTTTATAAGAATGTTTCTATTTTTTTTAAAGTGTTTTCCATTCAAAGAAAAAGAAGTAAATTCCTATGTCAGAGTAACCAAGGTGGTTGAAGAATAGGTATTAGCCAAAGAGGTCTAGATGGTAAAATCAATCTTCAAGCCTCAAAGAATCTCCGTGAACAGAGAGGAATGCCAGGAGTCACACAGCTTTCCTTCACTCTAATTCATTCTTGACTAGAGCCTGTATGCCTGTTCCAGGGACATTTGAACTCGTAAAGGATTTCTTATGATCTTCACTAAATACATTAAGAAGAATGCCAACCAGTGCCCTTTTGTGTACTGGGGCATGTAGTCCTGTGATTAAAACAGGTAACATGAACTCTGACTTTAAAATATATTGTAGATACGAATGCTCTAAGCTAGGAAAGGTTTTCCACATCCACAGTCAACGATGGGAACCTTTCATTCCTCAGAAATAAGCCCTTTTTAGGTCATCGAAAAAGAGTGCAACTGCTGCAGCTCATGATGCAATATCTTCATGAGCCCAGAGCACATACAAATCCTAAGGGCACCACCATAATACACCGCTAATTCCTGGCACCGGAAGAGATGAAACACACTCTATCTTGCACATACCTGCCAGAGGAGGCCACTTTCCTCTTCTGTGAGATTTAAAAAGCTCCCCCAAAAGGTTATCACTCCCATCACCAATACACAGAAAATGGAGGAAAGGCTGTTTCCAATTCTTGGCCTTTAAACAACTCTAAATGTCAGTACTCATAGTGGCGTATTACAAAGTAATAAACAGTGCACACTTGGGGGCAAACTACATATTGAGCTAAGGAAGAGCTCACTGTGATTAAGATTACATCAAACAACAGCAGAACATAGGCAAATTTTGTCTGAATGCTGTAGTGAATATACATGCTGCAATAACATTAAAAAAGCATGGCAGCCTATTCCAAACCAAAGAGAACAGTTTTGGGCAAAGAGTGGGTCTTTGTGTGTTTGAACTCCCACCACGTAAGGGCAAACTCGATATGCATGCTAATGACCTACAATTATGAAATTAAAAAAGAAAAATGCTAAAGGATGCCAGAGTGAACATCAGTGAGAGCCACAGACACCCACTCTCTTTTAACTTTTTACAAATAAACTTAAACTATAAATTAGAAACACAAATAATCATGAGTGAGTCTAACATTCAAAGGAAGTAAATGAATTGTGTAGGAGATTAACCCCATAACTTGGTTTCTTATTTAAAAATTTCTTGAGCAGCTGTTTGATGATGGTGATGTTTATCTCCTTCTTCTTGGCAGCCAAGCCCAACAAAATAATGGCACACAGCAGTTGCTGCCCAAGCCTGGGTGCTCCTGGTGGTCCTGCACGATCGGCTGTGCAGTAGGCTTGTCAAGGAGAGGATCCTCCCTGGCCTCTCCTTGGGCAGAGGAGGTGAGGGTCACCTCACGAAGATCTTTGGAGAGAGGGAGGCGGGGATCTGAGCACAGTGGGAGCCCCCCTCTTCCTGCCTGCCCACCCCGCCTGAGGGCTCTACTCACCACCATGCTTATCTGTAGCCCCAAGCTCCTGGGGAGCTGGGGCTCCTGGACCGGGCTCATCAGCAGGGTTGTGGGCAGCGGCCAGGAATTTTCTGTGCCCATTGTTGTAGTTGCTGTAAGCCGCAATACCATCTGCTGCAGCTCCAGCAGCTTCACCTGGAGGGAGGGGTGCTCAGCTGCCATGCCGCTGCCTGCGCCCACCCTCACACCCACCCCCACCCCCACCCCCACAGAGATGTTGCACACCCTACCTTCATCTCCTCCCTGAGCTCCAGCCTGATGGTGTCCTCCTCCCAGTGCTGCATCTTTGGCACGGCCCCCTGGTTCTGATAAAAGGTGATGGATTTTCCTGCGGGAGGACAGGGCTCAGATGCTGGGGCCCCTCTGATGGCCCTGTAGCTCCCCCTGCCGTGCCCTGGCCTCCCACTCACTGATGGCATCTCTCTTGCCAGTATTGAATGAAGCGAAGTTCTTGTTTTTTCACCAGCTCACTCAGGTCTGCCTTCTCCTTCAGGTGGTCCATAAAGCTGCTCTGGAGCCAAAATATTGCAGTCACATCTCGGCAGCGACCTGCCCTCAGGTGGCATTTTCAAGTCATGGAGAAGGCGGAGGTGAGTCCTGGCATGGGCCAGCTTCTCCGTGACTTCCTGCAGGGCCCAGTGGGTCTCCCCACTCACAGACTCGCCCCCAGGCCCTGGGGCTCCAGGGCCTCTGGCTGCCTCTGGCTCCTTCTGGGCCGAGGCCACCGGGTGAGCCAGGCGCTGGCAGCACACCCTCTGCTCTTTCACCTGCTCTTGTAACTGTGCCTGCTTCTCCTGGGCACTAGCTCCAGCGGACTTGAAAAATGCCACCTGAGGGCAAGATGTGAGCATTCTTCTAGGGGCATACACAGAAGAAATGGGGCAGAGAGGTGGAGCGCAGCCCCTTCCCTTGGGGCCTCAGAGAGTGCACCTGTTGGCCACAGGTGAAATGGTGTCTGACCACTGGCTCTCGGAAGGGGTGAGGGTCCAGAGAAATCAGAAGGCAGGGAAACGAAGAGCATAAAGGGGTCTTGGAGGGACCACAGAGAAAGGTGGCAAAATGGGTGCAGGGGGAGTCAGGCTCACCATGGCCTCCCTGCTCTCCAGGTCCTCTGGGACACTCGGCATGGGCTGAGGTGCCTCCTCCCCCTCACTGTCCAGATGTTCTCCTCCGTGTCCTGTGGGGGGTGGCCAGAGGGGTCTTCAGACAACCCAACAAGGGAGGTACTGTGGGCCCACCTCTACCTCCACCCTCACTGTGTAACCCTGAGCCAGCCCCTCCCCAGAGAGGAATGAGCTGTTGTTCTTTATTTTTACTTTTAAGAATCAAGATCTTGCTATTCCGCCCAGGCACACTCCCACTACTGGTCGATGTGGGAGTTCTGACCTGCTCCCTTTCTGACCTTGGCCAGTTCAGCCACCCTTAGGCAACTTGGTGACCGCCCGCTCACAGGAGGTCACCACACTGATGCCGAACTTAGTGCAGGCACCCGGTCGGCATAATGACCAGCTGTTCTAAAGGTCTCTTCCAACTCCTCAATCCTATGCTGCTAGCAGTCCCCCCTTCCTCCTGGGGCTCTCTCCTCTTCCTCTGAGCAGTCTCCCGTACCTTCCCCAGGGAGAGCCATGAGGCTCAGCTGGGCCGTTAGCTGCTGGTTCTGCTGGCTGGCCGCTTCCAGGTGCTCCTAAGGGGCCAGGAAAGAGTGAGAAGGGATGGAGTTTGCCAGGTCGTCCCCCTCACAGCCCCATCCTCGGCAGCTCCCTCCCCTGGGTCTCCTGCAACTTTTGGCAGGCCATCTCGGCCACTGCTTTGCCCCAAGCTTCCTACTGCTGCAGCTGGTTCATTAGCTGGGTCTGTTGCAGTCACTGCCTGTACAGCGCCTCCTTCTCACAGGTCAGCTGCTGATAGGCGGCCACCTGCTGCTGATAGGTGGCCACGTACTGCTGCAGGTGACCCAGGTAATGATCTGGCTGCTGCTGCAGACTCTGAGCCTCTTGGCTCTTCAGCTCCACCTGCAGGAAGACCCTGGGTGTGAGGGCACGTGGTGGCTGGTTTCCAGATTCTGGGCCCATTAATAGGGTAGCGAGGGCACTGTGGGGCTCTGTCAGCTACCCAGGCCCCTGTCCCCTTACTCCAGGCCTAAGTGACTGCCTCCCTTTCCTAGAACCCCATGCCTCCTTCCCCAGCCTCAAATCTCATACCCTCTTCTCATTTAATCCTCAGCACCTCTGTAAGGAAAATGCTAACTTCCCTTTGAAGTTAAAGAAACAGAGACTTAGAGATGCAAAGTACTTGAATGGTGACCAGTGGAACCGAGGCTGGAATCCAGTTTCAATCTAAGGAGTCTTTTTGTTTTGTTTTCAGACAAGAGTGTCACTCTGTGGCCCAGGCTGGAGTGCAGTGGTGCAATCTCAGCTCACTGCAACCTCCACCTCCTGGGTTGAAGCAATTCTCGTGCCTCAGCCTCCCGAGTAGGTGGAATTACAGGCATGCGCCACAATGCCCTGCTAATTTTTTTTTTTTTAATTTTAGTAGAGATGAGGTTTTACCACATTGGCCAGGTTGATCTCAAACTCCCGACCTCAAGTGATTCTTCTGCCTCAGCCTCCCAAAGTGCTGGGATTATAGGCATGAGCCACTGCACCTGGTATAAGGAGCCTGTTATAGCACTGTCTCTTCCCCTGTGATTGGGGGCTCCATGCCTCTAGCTGGGATGATGATGTCCAGACCTGAGAGGAGCCCAGGGCTACCCACCTTTAAAAGTCAGAGGCAGGAAGCGAGAAACAGTCGCAGGACTGCCCTGGGGGGTGCTGTGGTCACCAGCCCCCAGGCTGGAAGCTGCCTCTGACCTGGCACCTCCCCTCCCAAGAGGCTGCTGCCCGCCTCCCAGCCCTTCTTGGATGGGGTGGAGGTTTCCGTCTCCTTCACCTCGCCAAGCTTCTCCTGTAGCTCCTTTACTTGCTGCTCCAACTGCAGTGTGCTCTTGTTCTCATTGTTCTGGACAGAGAGAAGCAATCAGCAGCCACCCACTGCAGCTGGAGACCCCAGAACTTGGTGTCTGCCTCCCATGGCACTGGGAAGGCTGGAGGCAGGTTAGAAAAATCACCCCCTCTCTCCCACAGCCACCTGGCTCACAGGTGCCTTTAGAAGTAACCTTTCACGTGAGGGCTACACTGCCCCATTTTAGAGGTGGGGAAACAAAGGCCCGGAGGGCTACGGAGGAGGGCAGGCTCCCCAGTTGGGGCAACGCACCAGCTCCTCGAAGACGCTCTGTGGCTTGGCCAGCTGCCGAAGCTTCTCGTGCTGCTCCTGAAGCCTCTCCTCCTGCTTCCGAAGCCTCTCTTCCTGTTCCCGAATCCTCTCTTCTTGTCGCCGGTTCAGGAGACTTATGTGCTGATTGTTTTTGACCTGGGCCTGGAGCTCTCCTGCCACTCTCTCTAGTTCCTTCCTCAGGTGCTGCAGCTCCACCTCAGAGGGCACTGCTGGGGGCTCCGGGGGCAAGGGTTCAGCTGACAAAGGAAGCAGATAATAAGGGCCTCTGGATTCTCGGAAAAGAAAAACCCTCCTCTTGGCGCACAGCTCCTCTCAGGCTCCTCAAACTTGGCCTCACTGCTAATGATTCCTCGCACCCAGATGGTAGCCAGTCTTCCAAAGCACTTTCAGAGAAAGAGCACTGCGGGTGGCTGACAACGGGCCCTCTTTGCTGATGGGGACACTGAGACACTGAGACTCACTGAGATGACAAGACTTGCGGTCTCCTGGCACAGATCTCTTTCCCTCTGCCTCAAAGCCCTTCCATCCACCCACCTCCCTGGGGCACTCTAAGCCACCCTCACAGCCCTCTGATGCCAGTCCTGCTCCCAGGTCATGCCAGCCCCATCTTACCCGTCTGGTTTTTGAGTTTGGACAAGCTCCACTCCAGCTGCTCTACCCGACGCATATCTTGCTGCTTCTCTTTCTTTAATGTGCAAATCTGCCCAAAGCACAGGGGGAAAGGGCCCTGGAGAGAGGGGCTGGTGGCTGGACAGGCTGCCCTCTCCCTCTCTGCCCCCACCTCCACAAAGCCCAGACCCATGACCACCTCTGGCTCTACTATTCCCATTTTACAGATGCCCAGAAAGATCCAGTGACCTATCTAATGTGGGGGGGCTGAAGGGTCAGATCTCACCTCCTGCGACATTTTACTCATCCTCTGATGCCACCGGGCCCTCTCTCCTTCTATATGTTCAGCACACTCATCTCTTTCTAATTGGAGTTGTTGAAATGACTCCTTCAACTGCAAGAATGGGCACAGAAGTTAGGAAGGGCTGTCACTGGTCCTCACCTGCTCCTGGCCACCTGGGGTCATCGTCCTTCCACATCCCTCCCTCGGAAAACCTCACCTGTGTCAGCTGCACTTTCAGCAGTGCCTGGTCCTGTAGGGACTGCTCTAACTCCCACTCTGTATGTGCTTTGCTGCAGCTGGACAACTGGATGGTGAAGAGTGAGAAGTTTCAATCTGGAGAGCCTGGGCATTTCCACACAGTGCCCCTTAACAGGGCTAGGGCTAGGCCCAATATACAACTCGGTCAGTAAAGATCAAGGCATTTCCCAGCCCGTGGTCTGGTTTTTAAAAGAACACAGTAAAGTTGGAACGGACAGGGAATGAGACTGAGTTTATAGCTGGCTAACAGAGGCCCAGAGAGATCAGATAATATTGCTGTTGTTATTATTGTCATTATTACCACTGTTTGAACCTTTGTGGAATGCTTCACCAGGTACCGTGCTAACAATCCCATTTAATCCTCGCAACCACCATAGGAGACAGTTACTATGATTCCCTCTATTGTGGAGATGAAAAAACATGGAGTATTTGAGGTTAAGTGCTTGCCTAAGTTCACTTAGGCAGAGCTGGGATATAAACACCCAGGTCTATCCAATTCTCTAAGCCCATTTTTCTTGCTGGGGATGGGGGCACAGATAGGAAGGGGAAAATTAATCTTTTGTTCACTTTTTGAAAGGATGATACATTCACATAGTCCAAAACTCAGAAGGTACAGAAGGGAAGTATCTCCCAGCCATCTTGTTCTCTCTCCTGAATTTTTTATGAACCCTTGCAGACATGTTTTATGTATATTATCACAGTATGTACACACACACACACACACACACACACACACACACACACACACACACATGCACGCGTTTCCTCTTTCTACAGAAATGGTAACATACTAAAGGTACTCTTCTGTACCTTCACAGTACAAGTACCCAATACCCCACCTAGGACTTGCCCAAGACCACAGCCAGGTAAGGGCGGGGCAGGCACTTGGCCTCCAAGCTCTGCGTCCAGTGCTCACTCCCCACAGTACCCCCCAACTCACCCACAGCAGCTGACTCGGCCCCAGGCTGCCACTAAAAACCATACAAAAAAGTAGCAAGAAATGGCCATGCTGCCTTCTGGGCAGGACACGCCATCCTGCAGAAGGGACCTTTAGGCTCACTCCTCCATCTGCAAAACCAGGCTCCCAGGGGATGGGGCAGGTGGCTGGACTCACCTGGTTTGCCTTCTTCTTCTCTGTGGCGATGACAGCAGACAGAGCGCTCTCTAACTCTCCTTTACACTGCAATGAATGTTGCAGGCGGACAGCCAGGTCCTTGGACTCTTCTGTAATGAGAGAGTTGAGATGGGGCCCAAAGGACTCCCCCTGAAGACCTGTCAAAGTGCCAGGTTGAAGGATGACAGGGTGCCCAGATTCCCACCTTCAAAGTATCTGAGAGAACGTTCCATGTGGTACAGGTCCGTATTTAGTTCCTCTTTCTGTATGATCAATGTCTGGATTTGAACCTTTGGGAGAAAAGCCAAGCAAGTGCTGAAAGAGAAGGAAAGAAACGTTCTCCGGAGGACAGGAGGAAACTGCACACCCTCCACTCACCTCTAGCTCCCTTTCGGCTTTCTGTCTCTCGTTGTTTGCTTTCTTTTCCTGTAGGAAGAAGAAGACAGAGCTCTTACCAGGGGGAGGCAGAGATGGCACAGCAAGAGACATGCCCCCAGAATGCCACCAATGCCCCAGGACAGGCCCACCCATGGGACCAGGTTATCAGGGGCCCTGTGGGGATGGGGTGGAATCTGAGGGGTCAGCCTTCTTCCCCAGGCTGGGAGTGGGTGAGACGAGACTGGGGCCTCTATGTCTGAGTGCCCCCCAAACCCAGCAGTCATGTCGCGAGGAAACGAAATCACGTTACTTCTTCCAGCTGATGTTCCACTTGTTTCTTCTGTTGTTTCTGTGGGGAGAGTCAAATAAGGTGATGGAGGGTGGCCCCCTCAACTCTATTCCCCAGACCAGGAAGCGGTAGGCAGGGGCCAGGAATGGATTTTAAAGGCAAAGTTCTCAGACATAATGGGAACACGAACCGGTAAACTCTCCTCAAGCTCCCAAGGACAGAGGATTTGGGTCTTTGTTGGCTTTTGCCCACAGCCACAGAACTCAGTCTGAATCTGGAATCTCTTGAGAGGACAGCAACATAAACCTCTAGAGATGGAGTTTCAGAAAGGCCCCTCCTTCTGGCAGCTTGTGATTTAGAAAAGTGGGTTCATTCAATAAACACTTACTGAGCACGTATGGGCCAGGTACGGTTCTTCACAGCAGATATAGGATGGAAAAGGACAGACAGGAGCCCTTAGCCCTGAGGTTTCCATTCCCGGGGGCCTTTAAATCTCAGACTCGAGAGCTAACAGAGACCTTTGATACTCACTACCTCCTCTGGAAACACGAGCCCAAAAAGGAGAGGTGGCTTGTCCAGAATCAAAGAGCAAATTAGGGACTGAATCATGGCAGAAATACGGGGCCCTTGACAACCAGTCAGGCTAGCACTTCCCCAAGAGGCAACAACCCCAGGGCGTGTGTAGCAAGGACTCGAGCAGGGGTGTCTGGAGAGGAGAGAGTCGGCAAAGAGGGCAGCAAAAGAAGAGCCATGCTGCATGCTCTGGGGTCCCTCCAGGTGAGGCCTGGGCACCCAAGCTCCCTATTTGTCCCGGGCACCAGGGACCCCCAGCCCCTTTCTTCAGGGCCCCAAGGGGAAACTGGAGCCCAGGATTGGCAGCGTGGAATCAGGGGACCCCACCGGACTCTTACCAAAGATTTGATGGTGTTCTTCAGTCGACTGATTTTTACGGACGTTGAATCCAGGACTACTGCTCGTTCTTGGCACGGGCTCTGAGGTGCATGCAGAGAGGAGGAGGTGGAGCAGGAGTGGGGAGAGAGGTAGAGAGAACGATCGTTAGGGCTGGGGTGTGTGGGCTGTCTCAGCTGGCAGAGGGGCACCCAGTCCCACCTGGAGGAGGAGGTTGGAGGGTTGACCCGAAGGGTCACTGCACCTCCACCCAGAGCCTCTTACCTCCAGATCTTTCAGGGTAGCAGATGATGTAGGGCCTTCCCTGTGGAAATCTGTTGCTGACTACAAGAGATGAGAGTGCACATGGAGATGTTCTGTCCCCCACAGTGTCTGAGCCCTCTGACTTCCTTTCTTCCCCATCAACTGCAACATTTTCTTTTCTGCCTATCTTGGACCTTTTGTCCCATAACTCCTTTGTGCCAACTTCTCTCATGGTTCTTATCTCCCCACCATCCCATCCTGGGGCCCCTTCAGTGACTCCTGATGGCAAGTGGCTGTTCTCTTTGTCCTGGTTTCCCCTTGAGACTGGGGATGAGGAAAATCAAACCATATCCTGGGTGTCCTGAGTGTTTACAGCAGGCCATGTACTAGGGATTAACATAAAAACAACAATAACAAATCTCATTTAAACTTCACAAATGGAAGTGAAACAATAACACCTCTATTATACAGATGTGAAAAGAGAGGCCCAATGAGGTCAAGCAACTTGCCCTAAATCATATCCCTAGCAGAGCAGATGGAGAGGCAGGATTCAAACCCAGAATTCCTTTTTTTTTTTTTTTTGAGACAGAGTCTTGCTCTGTCACCAGGCTGGAGTGCGGTGGCATAATCTTGGCCACTGCAAGCTCCACCTCCCAGGTTCACACCATTCTCTTGCCTCAGCCTTCTGAGTAGCTGGGACTACAGGCACACGCCACCACGCGTGGCTAATGTTTTTGTATTTTTAGTAGAGACAGGGTTTCACCGTGTTAACCAGGATGGTCTCGATCTCCTGACCTCATGATCCGCCTGTCTTGGCCTCCCAATGTGCTAGGATTACAGGCGTGGGCCACCACACCCGGCTAAAGCCAGAATTCTTAACCAGTACCCAGCAGTCCATCCACAATCTTAAGAATTACCCTCTATTGCCCCTTGGGCCCCCTGTCCCCAGAAGCCTGGTCAGCCAAGACTCACATCCCCAGGTGGCTGGCAACCACCGGAAGTGGCTGTCTCAGGGATACTGCCATTTGTTTTCCTGTTCCTGTTCACTCCTGCTGGAACTCTAGGTCTGTTTTTCTGCCAATATTCTTTTAACTGTTGGAAAGGAGAGCAGTAATAGTCATGAGAACCGTCAGCCCCTACAGCCACAACCTCCTTTACAGCTTTTACAAAATACACTTACACACCATCTGATTTAATGACACCAACAACTGTACAAGGTGTTGTCACACTCATTTAGTGACTGAGAAGGATTGATATCATGGCTAGAAAAAAAAAAGAAAAAGGCAATACTGGAACTTTGAGACTCAGTCTTCTGACTCCAAGCTCTGAGGTTTTGCCAAGAATCAGCAGCTGCCAGGGACCAAAACCAGAGGCAGAGGTAGAAAAGTAAACATTAAGTAGGCAGGAACTGTATGCCATGTGGTTTAGTCATACATCCTCACACGTCTGTTAGTGTGAAGAAGTGCACCAGTACCTCTCAAACTTTTATATCAATGTGTCCTCATGGCAGAAGGCAGCCTTTCTCTTAAATCAGAATTTATCAGAAAGAGGACAACCCAAGCCTCATTTCAGAGAGAGGTCTGGTATACTCTTAGAAACCTATGTGACTGTCATCCCTAAGTACATTCATGTTTTTTCTCTTGATCTCAAGAGAATCAAGGGAAACTGATGCTTCAGAAAGATGTCCCACATTTATCCTGTGGCACTCAAAGTACCCAAGGTTGAGATAATATGAGGAAGATTCAAGGTGTCAAGTTCAGTTTCCCAGGATCTATTCCACAGAAGATGAGCAAATCTCACTTCAGAGACCACTGACTGAAGGAGAGTCTGGTCCCAGAACCATGGAGAATTAGAATATGAGGTGGAGAACTCAGAAAAAAATGTTAAAATCTCTCTGGAAAGTAGAAGCCTGGGAGAAAACCAAATCAAACCCATTCTCTCATTGCCACCCAGAGATACTGTCAATGTTTTGAGTTCATGGGGGAAGTGTAGGCTTTTCCCACCGTCAACATCTGTAAGGGAGTGAGGCAGCCTG
Source organism: Homo sapiens (assembly GCF_000001405.40). Classification (NCBI taxonomy): domain Eukaryota; kingdom Metazoa; phylum Chordata; class Mammalia; order Primates; family Hominidae; genus Homo; species Homo sapiens. Next base: position 2,112,654 of record NW_012132920.1, on the reverse strand, counting down.
GAACCTCTTGCTCCTAGGTCCCATAGTCTCCATTCCCCTTCCAGCTGGAAATTTGTGCTGTGACCAGAGGAACCAGAGACGGGGTGAGAACGCTTAGGGGACTGGGTCGTAAGGTCAAAGGCCAGTCTTGCAGTAACGGCAGTTACTAGGTGGACTGTGACATCACAACATTCCACTCCTCCTGGTCGGGGGGAGGGACCATGTCAGCACCATGTCCAAGTCGCTGCTCCACGATGGGGGAGGGAAGCACAGGGTTGGGACCCAGCTCCTTGGAGACGCCAGCACAAAGAACCCAGGGAGGTCGACCTTGAGGCAGCAGGAGGGGAGGGCACAGTCTGCAGCAGGGATTCCCAGGAGTCACCAGCCCAAAGTCACCCAAGGATGACTGGCGAGGGTGGGGCCTGGCTCCTTGGAGATGAGAGCCCAAAGAGCCCACGGAGATCAAGCTTGGGGCGGCAGGAGATGACGGCCCAGTAATGGAGCGGGAAGCCCCAGGAGTCACCCACCCAAAGTCACCCTGGGGTGATTGGCGAGGGCAAGGACTGGGCTGCTTGCTGAAGGGGTGGGGCTGACTGACAAAACTTTGGTGGGGGTAGCCCAAGGCACCGGGGTTGGGGGGACCAGTCCAGTGTGCCTCAGGAGTCGTATAGACTCTGGCAGGGGTCTTGTCATCAGAGGGGATCTGTGGCTGGGTTGAGGGGCTATGACCTAGTGCGTTTTTACCTTTTTCTTGGCTGCAGCCAATTTGTTGTGTTGAGTTTCTTCTGCCATCGCAGGGTGGGGAGGGAGGAAGGGTTGGGGCCACAGCAGCAAAATCCCAATAAGAACCGATCAAGGCCTCCAGTCACCTACCAGGCAGCTGTGTGACTGAGCCAGAGGAGGCGTAACCAGGGCCCCAGTAGAATGCGGAATAGGGGCGTGGCCTTAATGCTCCAAGCCCATTGGTCAATGAGAAAGATGAAAGGGAAAGGGGGCGTGGCCAGACAGCAGCGTGTCCAGAGGGCCCTGTGGCTCACAAGGAAAGCTGCCCATGGCAACCGCTCTCCCCACCCACTCTAAGAGAGGGGAGAGGCCTCCCACTCTGGAAGAGAAGAGGGGCTGGCTTTTGCTTTAAAAGCTTTAAAACTTTAAAAAATATATGTGTGTATACTTTATATATATGTGTGTCCATGTGTGTGTATCTATGTTTTTCTCCATAGCTGTCTTCATTATCCAGCTTCTATGCAAGGTCTATGATTTTGGCCTATATTTTTCATCTTTGATTACAGTACAAAAATTACCAGTATTACCTTAACTGAGATACAGATCCTATAAAAATGGAAAATGCATAGCATGCTTGATGATTAATGAAGCAGACTATATTATCCAACATTCTAATAAGATAAAATAATCACAATGATTTCTCTTTTTTGGAAAAATGTTTCTCTTATTCTCCTACGTTTTCGTTAAGATTTTTTTTCTTAAACAAGAAACATGTCTAATATCTGTAAAAGCACAAAGCTTTTGGGCCGGGTGCAGTGGCTCATGCCTGTAATTCCAGGACTTTGAGAGCCCAAGGTGGGTGGATCATGAGGTCAGGAGATCGAGACCATCCTGGCTAACACGGTGAAACCCCATCTCTACTAAAAATACAAAAAAGGCCGGATGTGGTGGCAGGCAGCTGTAGTCTCAGCTACTTGGGAGGCTGAGGCAGGAGAATGACATGAACCCCCGAGGTGGAGCTTGCAGTGAGCCAAGATCATGCCACTGCACTCCAGCCTGGGCTACAGAGCAAGACTCCATCTCAATTAATTAATTAATTAATTAATTAAAATAAAAAATTAATAGTAAGAGCAATGTGAACAAAAGATGCAATAAAATAATTTAGAAAATACAAACTATTAAAAAATAGATTTTAAAACTTGTGCAACAAAGTCAAACAGCAGCCAACGAAAATGTATACCCTTACACGTTTGTTTAAAAAGCAATTTAAATTACATTGATCCACTAAACTAGGAAAAGCAAAACAAACAAAAAGGGGGAAATAATTAACACCTAAGGAAAAAGGAAAAAGAAAAACCACTAGATTTAAAAAATAAAACTAAAGGAGGATTCTTTCAAAAGACTGAGATAATAAAACAGTCAAGCCTCTGATAAGTAATCAAGATAAAGAAAACTTTGAAGAGAAAAGGGCATATAGCCACATGTGAATATGATGCAAAAAGTGAAAACTTTACACATCTTTACAACACCTTAGAAGTATGGATGACATGTTCATTTTTTTTTTTTTTTTTTTTTGAGACGGAGTCTCGCTCTGTCACCCACGCTGGAGTGCAGTGGCGTGATCTTGGCTCACTGCAAGCTCCGCCTCCCGGGTTCACAACATTCTCCTGCCTCAACCTCCCGAGTAGCTGGGACTACAGGCGCCCGCCACCACGCCTGGCTAATTTTTTGTATTTTGGCTTAGTAGAGACAGGGTTTCACCATGTTAGCCAGGATGGTCTCGATCTCCTGACCTCGTGATCCACCCGCCTCGGCCTCCCAAAGTGCTGGGATTACAGGCATGAGCCATCGCACCCATCCAAAGTGTTCATTTTTTTTTAAGAACCTACAGTTACGAGAAGTAACTGAAGAAGTGGGAAATCTGGAGACCAATATGCAGAAGAAGGAAAAAGACAAAGACTCATCCTCCAAATTGGATATTTAAACCAGAATTTGTCATCCTCAGCAATATTGATATATTGGGCCAGATAATTCTTTGTGGAGGGTTCTCTTGGTGTGTTGTCGGGCATTTAGTAACATTCCCTCTACCCACAGAATGCCAATGAGACCTCCCGACCATGACCAGTTGTGACCACAAAAATGTCTCCAGATATTTCCAAACGTCCCATAGGAGGCAAAATACTCCTGCAGTTGAAAATTACTGTGTAAACCAGATCTACATCCTAGATCTTAGAAAAAAGATGTAAAGCTTCCCAACTCAGCCCTGCATACCCTTGATACTGAAATAACAGCCTTAAAGGAAACAAACAAAACTATAATCTTATTTAATACAGAAGTAAAAATGCAAAAATAAAATATTACCATAGCCATTCTAACAGTGTTTATTATAGGAATGCAAAGATAATTCAAAATTAGGAAAATTTCATCAGGCAATTCACAAATTATATTTCTACATATAATTGAAGGCACAATCATGAAAAACAAAGTAGCTCTATATGCATTAAGTCCATGATCTATTCAGTGAAAAACACAAGTTGCACATGTCTTACAGAAGGAAAACTTAACACTGAACACAGATTCTCACCATCTGCTCTTTGTCCTGAGGCTCCAATAGAAATACAGTGAAGAATAAACATTGTATAAGCACACCATTACAAAAAAGGAATGGGGTTACCAACAGAAGAGAATTCATCTTCATTAGACAATGACAGTACATGGAAAATGGTTAATTCATGGAGCAAAGCAATAAAGGTGGAGGTCAGGGGGATACTGAGAACAAGGAGGCTAATCTGTCCCACAGCAACCTGGAAAGGTTCTAGACTCAGACACGAGGTACCCCCGACAGTGGGACTGATAGGCAAGACTGAAAACAGAGATTAAGCAAAAGCCCGGATAGAGAACACATTTCACAGGCCCTGAAACACACTGCTGGCCCCATCTCCTTAAACAGAACCCAAGCAAACGTATCCACCTCAGGCAAGAGAATGTAGATTTTACATCCAGAGGAATGGAGTAGTCATCCAGCCATCATTTATGATTGCAACAGGAGATAAGATAGAGGGATGGAGGATAACAATTAGGAATCAGCATACATTCCCCTTAAAGCTATCAGTTGACAAGTCTTGGCCACAAAGAACTCCCAATCAATTTTTATTTATTTTTATTTTTATTTATTTATTTATTTATTTATTTATTTTGAGACAGGGTCTTGCTCTTTCGCCCAGGTTGGAATGCAGGAATGCAGTGGCATGATCAGAGCTCACTGCAGCCTCAACCTCCTGGGCTCAAGCAATCCTCCTGCCTCAGCCTCCCAAGTAGCTGGGACTGCAGATGGGTGTCACCACACCTAGCTATTTTTTTTTTTTTTGTAAAGATGGGGTCTCACTATGTTGCCCAAACTATTCTTGAGCTCCTGGGCTCAAGTGATCCTCCCACTTCGGTCTCCCAAAGCACTGAGATTATAGGTGTGAGCCACCACACCTCGGCTCCCAGTCTTTTAGTACCTCTCTCAAATATGAATGAACAAATAAAGGAATGGAAAAAAGACTACAGGTCAGGCACGGTGGCTCATGTCTGTAATCCCGCACTTTGGGAGGCCGAGGTGGGTGGATCACCTGAGGTTGGGAGTTCCAGACCAGACTGACCAACATGGAGAAATCCCATCTCTACTAAAAATACACAAATTAGCTGGGTGTGGCAGCACATGCCTGTAATCCCAGCTACTTGGGAGGCTGAGGCAGGAGAACTGCTTGAACCTTGGAGGCAGAGGTTGTGGTGAGCCAAGATCACATCATTGTACTCCAGCCTAGGCAACAAGAGCGAAACTGGGTCTCAAAAAAAAAAAAAAAAAAAAAGACTACAAATGATAAGCAACATAGAATAGATATTTAAGGAAAGGCTTTAAAAAGAAAAATAAGACCAAAATAAACTAAGAAAAAAATTATTAAAGAACAAGGAGATGCCAGGGAGAAGACAAAGAGTATCAAAATCACTTCATAAAGACACTTGTGAATATATTACATGTATAAAACAAAACAATATGAATAAGAAATAATCAGAGAAGAAAAAGTTCTTAGAACTCATGCTCCATCTTGGGAGTTGGTCTCCAATGAGCCATACCTCCTGTCATCATGTCCTCAGACAGGCCCATCCCATAGTCAATCTGGGTTGGCCCCAACACTCACTTTAACCTATAGCATGTGGTAGAAATGACACTGGACCTGTTCCAGGTCTAAGCCTTAAGAACTCCTGGCAGCTCCATTTCTGTGCTTCTGGAAGCCAAAAATAAGAATTGGCTACCTTCTTGGAGAAAGAAAAGCCACATGAAGAGATCCGAGAGGATGAGATGCTATGCAGAGAGAAAGGCCACATCAAGAATTACCAAGGCAGCAGACCTGTGGGTAAAGAAGCCGTCTCAGACATTCCACTGCAGCTGAGCATCCAGATGACCAGTCCCTGACACTGTTTAACCACACAGTGAGAGCTGCCAAATGAGACCAGCAGAAAAACTGTCCAGCTAGCCCCAGGTAATCCATACAGTCGTGACAGATAGACAGATGTGTAGTTTTAGGCCATTAGGTTTTGGGATAATTGGTTAAGCAACAATAAATAACCAAAACAAAACTTAAAGTTATGACAGTCCAAATAAAATTTCCTGAAAGTCGAAAGATAAGAAAATATTCCAGAACTGAAAATTTAAAAAACATTTAGAAATAACGTGAGATATAAGACTCAAGACAAGAGGTCTAAAATCCAATTAACAGACACTTCCAAATGAACAAATAAAATGGAAAAGAGAAAGTTAACAACAAAAATATGACAAGATTCAAGACTCCAACTTTGAAAGAGCCTATCCATAGGCCTGTTCATTTGGTGTACCCAGCATAATGAATGAAAAAAGACCCACACTAAGTACACTGTTGTGCTATTTCAGCTCACCAAGGAAAAGACAAACTCCTAAAAGCTTCCAGGGAGAAAGTCATGCATAAACAAGTGAAACTCAGGATGGCATGAGGCTTCGCCACCACGACTGGTTAGAAGACAACAGCACAGACTTTGAAATTCTAAGGTAAAATTATCCTCAACCTAGAAATACGTAATCAAGCAAACTATCAATCAAGTGTGAGGGTAGAATATGAGAGACGTGAATACTGATGGGGATGTGATATGCAGCAGGCACTGTTCTAAATGGTTTACATGTACCAACCCAATTAAGAAACTTAAAATACACACGCGCACACACACACACACACAGTTTTTCCTGCTAATCATTTTACGATGAAACAGCCAAGTAGCTAACCCAGAGCCCACAAAGGCAGAGTAAAAATTCTAACACTTGGTAAAATAAAAATGCACATATACCCTGTGATCTAAAAAAAAAAATGCTTAAATATTCAAAGACAGACAGCAATTACAGCTACTGAGAACATCACTGTAAGCAAACTGAGGCAGAGAAAACAAAGGTGCTAATGAGGATTTGAACCACCTAACATGCAGAAACCCACTGGATGCTTTCCTAGGTTCCGAGCTGGCATTGTCTTTCAGAATGATCTAGAAGAGGTCACATGACACTGTTACAAAGGATCTGGAGAAAGGGACCCTTGCTTTATCACTCCGGCTCTCCAGTCATGCTTCACATTTTCACTTCTTACACTCTTTCACATGAAGTCAATTTACAGACCTCCATCATGCCCTTAGAGACCTTTTTGTAATATTCTGACAAGTTCTGGATGTCATCTCTGCACTTTTGACAAATTCTTAGCAGTTAACGTACAAGGCAGTTAACATTTTTGTTCACGGTATAGCTAGAAAAGGGTCATATACTCAATAAAACAAATATTTACCAAGCATTCATTGAGTGGAAGATAAAACGCACAAAGCATAATTATAAAATATTCTCCCCTGACATGATACAACAAAATTTTTAAAGGCTTACAGAATATAGCATAACATGACCAAAGCAAAAATAGTAAGGACTAAAGAGGGGAGGAAGGGAAAATATCAGCATGAACTGAATATGACCCAGAAGAGTCTTGATGGTCAGACATGTAAAGATGTATTGGGCAGGGTTAAGGGGTGGAAGTCAGGGGCACAGGTCAGGGGCACATTCTACAAGGGAAAAACAGCTGATACAGAAGCCTGAAAGGTAAAGTGGGCAGAGCACCTGTACAGGACTCTTACCTGCCACAGCGAGGGCACAATGCGCCTTTCCAGAACACAGCAGCGCGCAGCCAGGCCTGGGGCAGAGGGATCACTCAAACAGCACCAGAGGCTGCATTCCTACTTTTCTTCCGTCAACAAGTCCATTTTCGTTGTTAGTTTCTCCTTCAACACAAACTTAAAAACAAATGGCTGAACACGCAGGAACAAGGAAAACCTGACTGAAGAATGAGACGTTAAAACTTAAGGGCCTTGGGTCCTGGCACGGTGGCTCACGCCTGGAATCCCAGCACTTTGGGAGGCAGAGGTGGGTCATTTGAGGTCAGGAGTTCAAGACCAGCCTGGCCAACACGGTGAAACCCCGTCTCTACTAAAAACACAAAAGCTAGCCAGGCGTGGTGGCCGGCGCCTGTAATTTCAGCTACTCGGGAGGCTGAGGCAGGAGAATCACTTTAACCAGAGGACTGTCAAGAGAGGTAGGCTGCAGTGAACCGAGATCGCGCCACTGCACTCCAGCCTGGGCTACACAGTGAGACTCTGTCTCAAAAAAAAAAAAAAAGAAGTCATGGTCATGGTAAAAAACCTATGGCTTTGGAAGGCTTTCTCGGTAACGTCCTAGAATTAAGGTTAAGCCTGCGTTTCCTGTTAACTGAACAGGAAACCAGCCTGACCAACATCCTTCTGCCCGGTGGCTTGCTCTCAGCTCCTCTTCTTTGGGCCTTGGGCAGCCAGACTGTCTAGTTTTAATCCTTGCTCTGCCACCTGTGACCTTGGACAAGTTACCTACCTTCAGTTACCTCATCTACAAAATGCAGATATTAATAATACCCTCTTTTTAATTTATCCAGAGGATTAAAAGAGTTAATAAAAAGTAAAAAATAAAAAGACTTGGTAAGCATAGGCACAGAGGAAAAAAAAGTAAAAATAAATAATTAAATAAAAAGACCAGTGCCTAGCACATAAAATTTCATCAGGAATTAATTCTATAATATGAACTCAATTTTGCAAAACTTCAAAGTACGTACAACTTTTAACTTACTAGGGTATACATACCAGTAATAAATTCACAACGGTAGACATGTTTGCCTACTGTAAATATAACAAAGACTAAACAAGCAGATACTAAATCATTAAGCAATTATCAGTTAGTATCTTTAATTTTCTTATACTTCTATATTTTCTATAGATCATCTTTGTAACAAGAAGAAAACCAACCAAATGAAAATGAAATGAATTCTCTCAAAAAGAATTAAGTCAAGACAGGAAGAAGGCTCGCAAAGTAATATAAAATATATCTTATGGTTTATGTAAAATTCTTAATAAAATACCTTCTTTGCTCCAAGCTGCACTCTGGCTTTGCCTTTGAGTCAGGTGGCATTTCTTTGCACGATGACTGGTTTTATTGAGTAGGCACTGCTTCAGCCCTACAGGAAGAACAAAACCTCTCTGGAACACAGCAGCATTCCTTACTCCCACTTGAGGAGGCCTAACAAAACGGCATATGCCTCAACAGCAGCAGATCAGTGTTAAAAAGTCTGGAGTCAAGGGGAAAAAGTAAAATTGGACCATTTCCAAAATCTCACAAAAAGCAACAAACTGACGTTCTAAGTGCCCAACATGAGCAAATTAGAACCTTAAATAAAGGTCACTCTTAATGCCTATCCCAGCATAGATTCAGCACCAAGTACAGTGTCATTTTACTGGTTTACCTTTTTCATTCTTGAAAGTAGGAGCTATGAAAAAAAAACACTAAAATTTCTCTAAGAGAACCTTCTACTTTCTGTCTAACTTACATAATCAAAACACTCTATTGAGGGTGAAAATTGAATATTATAAGAAAATAATCACGTGTTTTGCGAGAAGTTGCAAATATAATGCTCCTCCACCCAATACCTACCTTAAAAAGAAAAAAGGAAACATACAAAATTATCTCGAGAATTATTCCTGCTTAAACAATGTCTACGTGCCATTACTAAGAAAGTATGCACACAGTAAAGATGAGAAGAGAACATGCAAGCGTGAACATACTTGTTAGGGATATAGGACTATGGGTAATTTAAACATTTTAATGGTATTACTCTCATGTAATTGCTCTGAAATTCTAGTCAGTTGTTTGAAATGGCTCTTAGAACAGAATACTTTGACATTTTTATGATGTCAAAAACTAAGAACTTAGCCCTAAATATTCCAAAGAATAGGTGCAGAAGAACCCGTTTCCTTAAACGGCATTTGAGTATTCTTCACAACTCAAACTTTCTCTCCCATCCTGTGATGGCCGAGAGTTTTTCCTCTGACGACGGCACTGACCTTACCCTATCCAAAATATGAACATCTGCATGGTTTCCTGGTTCAAATTGTTTTTATCCATTCTGTCGTGAGAATCAAATGGTTCAGACCATGCAGCACCTCTCTGGGACTTCTCAAGTCCTTTCTAGATCTGAAGACTATTCTCTGAACCAAAGACAACTTCTGGGGGTGCACCAAATCTCCCATTAGAAAATTATTAAGATCAAGATGTTTTAACCTTTTAACTCTTTCTCAAACAAAATAAATTCGTTTCTCCTTTACTGTTATTTTAAATTTCAAAATACACAGATAGTATATCTAAAATAAAATCAAGAGAATGACAGTTTTAGAACACAAACTGTGGTAATTTTGAAAACACAAAAGCTAAGACCACTAATTAGGTCTATGTGGACACCAAGTCCACCACAACCTGTTCTGTCCTCCGGGGCTCTGCCCACGCCTTTCCCTTGCCTGAGATTCCTTCTGCTTCCTACCCTTCCAAATGCTGTATTTCCCCCTGGAAGACTTGCCAAGACCACTCTAACCTGCACATCTCCCATTCCAGCTAACCAAAGGCATCCTTGGGTTGACTAAACCAAATTATTTTGCAGACAAGGCATCTAAACACTTCCACTGTAGACTATTCACCTTAATAATTGTTATTGTGACATTATTCAATAATAAAATGAGGGAAAGAAGTCCTCTTCAATCCCTTATCCTGGAGAACCCAAGCAAGTGTCTTTCCCACTTGCTTTGCCCAAACCCTGGGACCTTTCTAAGTAAAAGTTTAATGGAAGGGAAAGAAAATCTAAAAGAAAAACTCTCCAAGAAATTAAACTCGGGCAAAGATTCATGGGATTAAAAATTTTTATTCTTTGTGTATCTGATTTCCGAAACATAGAAATCTCTCTCCCACTCCTTAAACCTGCCACTGGGCTAAGAGAGTATTGTACAGAATATGCACTCACTGACTTAACAGAATTAGAACATCCAGGCACTCACTGAGATTTTGCTTCCACAACCGCTCAAAGTCTAGTCATTAGTTCATGAGTTAACACCACACTTGACCTTCAAATTTTGGAAATGCTGACGGTAGACAGGGACTTGTTTTGGGAAAGGAAGTACACAGTAGACATTGTTACCCATGACCCAACCACCACCACCTTTCCTTTAAAGAACCCCACTCTTCCTTTAAGGTTGCAGAGTCTCAGAAAGTGGGAAGAAAGGAAGTTTTTGCATTTTCAGGTCAAAACGAAGTACATTTGTGCAACCACATAATGCCCATGCAAAGGTTTCTTGAAATCTAAACACAAGACAGAAGTAGTTCTAGCACCTCCACAAAAAGTAAGGTAAGTAAGCTTTTCCTTAATATACACTTTCAGCAGCATCAACACCTAAAAGTGGTTGACTTTACTACTGTACTAAATTAAATTACATTCATTTTGTCAATAGGTATTCCAAATTCGTACTGATCTTTGTCTCCAAGGGGTTCCTGCTGAATATTGAGACAGTTGAAGATTACTAGGGGAAAAAATTCTTAATAATCGAAGTAAGGATCATCTAAGGATAATATGCCACATATACAGACACAGTCACATTTTCAGCTTTACAAAAGTTCAGTTATCAAAGTTGTACAGCAAACACTATCCTAAGCTTAGCGTCTTCAGGCATTTGATTTATAATCACTGTAAAGAAAAATCAGTCACAAAATGCCACTGTTGTATGATTCTATTTATATGAAATGCCCAGGATAGGCAAATCTACAGAGATAGAAGTTAGATCAGAGGTTGCCAGGATCAATGGTGGGGGAGAGAGCTACAGGGAGTGACTGCTAGTGGGTACGGGGTTCTTTTTGGGGAGATGAAAATGTTCTGAAATTAGGGAGTGGTAATGGCTGCATAACTCTGAATATACTAAAAACCACTGAACTGTACACTTGAAGGGTGAGGCTTATCATACAAAAACTGTATCACAATAAAGCTCTTAGTTTAAAAAATGTTTGTCTATGTCAAGAAACAAAGAAATAGGGTCATAGCTAGAAGATATGGGATATAAAATACTGGAACAAAACTGCTTAATAATATATCTAGAATCACACAATGCTTAGTCTTTACGCTGACTAAAATCACGAGATTTGTGTTTTATCGGTATTTCACGTTTTTTACTTCTTCTAAGTCAGCCAGTAATTCCTCCTTCTCACTTAATCGTTGACTACAAAGACCAAGCCATTTTGACTCTGCCACCGATGAGCTTTCACATTTCTTTCCTCCTTCCATTCCCATGACTACCAAACCAGTGCAGGTTCTCCTCACTTCACTCTAAGACAACAGCGTGGCCCTCAAATACTGTCACACTCTTCAAGGCTGTGTGAGCACAATCTGTCTCATATTCTCTTCTGCTGTCACCAGATTTATTCTAAGACCGTTTCTTCACTGTTACTCCCCTGTTTCTCAACCAGTTACACAGAAAGACGAATATCCAGGCATGGTGTCATGTGCCTGTAGTCCCAGCTACTCAGGAGGCTGAGGCGGCAGGATCGCTTGAGAATGTGAGATTCAGACTGCAGTGAGCCATGATCATGCCACCGCACTCCAGCCTGGGCAACAGAGTGAGATTGTCTCAATAAATAAATAAATAAATAAATAAATAAATAAATAAATAAATGAATGAATAAATGTGGTCTATCCATGCAACGGAATACTATAAAATTATCAGCCTTAAAAAAGAAAGAAGCCCTGTCACATGCTGCAATATAGATGAACCTTGAAAACATTACACTAATTGAAATCAGCCCATCACACAAAGACAAATGCTGTACAATTTCTCTTACATTAGGTTCGAAATTAGTCAAACTCATAGAAACAGAAAATAGAGCGGTTGTTTCCATAAGCCAGGGGATAGAGAAATGGGGAGTTGTTGTATAGTGGCTATAGTTTCAGTTCTCCAAGAGAAGCAAGTTCTAGAAACTCGTTACTCAACATGTATATTTTTAACACTACTGCACTGTATACTTACAAGTGGCTAATATGGTAAATTTTATGTTGTGCCTTATCACCATAATGTTTTTAAAAGAAGGGGTTTGTGTTTCCCTTCGTTGTGATCACCCATTTTTCACTTCAGCATTTTGAACTTGAGATTTCCTGTAGCGGTTTTACTGAGCCCTGCAGTTACCGGCTCAGAATGTCTCCACCGCCTTGTAACCTTGTAGGCAGACACTTTTCAGCATCTTATTGGGCTCCGTGTGCTTGATGCTTAAAGTGACATGGAGACATGCCACTTGCTGAGAAGCAAAGAAAGGCAAAAGGTGACTGCTTTCCTGGCATCGATGAAGGCAGAGAGAAGGGATCTTGGAGGCACAGATATTAAGCCATAAGCAATAACATGGGTTGCCAAAAAGAGAACTAACCCCTCTCCTGGTAACATTTCCAGGTGTTTTTCACAGGGCCAGTGGATTTCACAATGTGAGTGCTGTCCAGCACCAAAGGGAATGGCCAACAGGCATGGAGCAGCCTACAGCGTCCAGCACCCAGTAGGATGGCCAGGAGGCACGGAGCAGCCTGCCTGTCCCAGGAAAGCAGGAGTCACAGGACACAACTGGACCCAGGTAGGCATGTATGTTACTTTCCTGTGGCTGTTAGAGCAAATTACCAAAAATGTGGTGACTTAAAACAACAGAAATTTATTTTCTCACAGTTTTGGATATCAGAAGTCCAAAATCAGTATCACTGGGCTGAAATCTAGGTCTCAGCAGAGCCAGTGCTCTCAGAGGCTGAGGGGAAAATCCATCCTTTGACTTGCGCAGCTTCTGATGGCTGCTGGCATTCATTGGCTTGCAGCTCCACCACTCCAGGCTCTGCCTTCTTGGTCACAGGGCCTCCTCTTCTGTCTGAAGTTAAATCTCCTTTATCTCCCTCTTATAAGGATATATGTGCCAGGATTTAATGCCCACGGAGACAATCCAGGATAATCTCTCCTCAAGATCCTTAACTTAATCATACCTGAAAATATGCTTTTTCCAAATGAGGTAACATCTACAGGTTCTAGGAGTTCCAGACCAGCCTGGACGACATGGTGAAACACGGTCTTTTTTTTTTTTTTTTTTTTTTTTTTTTTTGAGCGGAGTTTCGCTCTTGTTTTCCAGGCTAGAGTGTTTTCCGGTCTCGACTCACCGCGGCCTCCACCTCCCGGTTAGGTGGTTCTCCTGCCTAAGCCTCCTGAGTGGCTGGGATTGCAGGCATGAGCCACCATGCCAGCTAATTTTGGTGTTTTTTTTTTTGTACAGACGGGGTTTCTCCGTGTTGGTCGGGCTGATCTCAAGCTCCTGACCTCGGGTGATCCACCCGCCTCCGCCTCCCTGGGTGCTGGGATTGCAGGCGTGAGCCACCGCGCCTCCGGTCCAATTTAGTAACCAGAAAGGAATAGATCGGCCTGGCGTGGTAGCTCATGCTTGTGATCCCAGTACTGTGGACGGCCGAGCGCGGCGATCGATTGAGCCTAGGACTTCCAGACCGGCCTGGGCAACGTGGTGAAACACTGTCTTTTTTTTTTTTTTTTTTGAGTGGAGTTTCGCTCGTTTTGCAGGCTGGAGTGCAGTGGCGTGGTCTCGACTCACCGCGGCCTCCACCTCCCGGGTTTAGGTGGTTCTCCTGCCTCAGCCTCCTGAGTGTCTGGGATTGCAGGCATGAGCCACCATGCCAGCTAATTTTGGTTTTATTTTTTTGGTACAGACGGGGTTTCTCCGTGTTGGTCAGGCTGATCTCGAGCTCCTGACCTCGAGTGATACGCCCGCCTCCGCCTCCCTGGGTGCTGGGATTGCAGGCGTGAGCCACCGCGCCCCCGGTCCAATTTAGTAACCAGAAAGGAATAGATCTGCCTGGCGTGGTGCCTCCCCCTTGTGATCCCAGGACTTTGGAAGGCCGAGTGTGGCAGATCGCTTGAGCCTAGGAGTTCCAGACCGCCTGGGCAACATGGTGAAACCCGGTCTCTGTTTTGAGACGGAGTTTCACCCTTGTTGTCCAGGCTGGAGTGCAATGGTGTGATCTTTGCCCACCGCAACCTCGGCCTCCCGGATTTAGGTGATTCTCCTGCCTGGGCCTCCCTAGTAGCTGGGATTACAGGCATGAGCCACCATATCCGGCTAATTTTGTAGTTTTTTTCTTTTTTTTAGTAGAGACGGGATTTCTTCATGTTGGTCAGGCTGGTCTCCGACCTCGGGTGATCCGCCCACCTCTGCCTTCCAAAGTGCTGGGATTGCAGGCCTGAGCCACTGCGCCCGACGGAAACCCAGAACGGAAAACAAAACAAAAACCACAAAGATTAGCCGGGTGTGGTGGGCCGCGCAGGTAGTCCCAGCTACTCTGAAGGCTGATGGAGGAGGATTGCTTCACCCCGGCTTCTAGGTGGCAGTGAGCTATGATGGCGCTGCTGCACTCCAGACTGGGCGACAGAGCGGGACTCTGTGGCAGGAAAAGGGAAAGGAAAAAAAAAAGAAAAAGAATGTAAATAAAATTGCTAACTCAAGGAACAGCTTGACAGTATATTATTGCGACAAATAGAGGCAAAGGTTAGCAGACACCAGTGTTCACTTAGTGGGACCTGCGGGTGTTCCCCCCATAGGAGGCTGCTACTTTCCCACAAGAAATCCATTACTGACTACCGATAAAAGAACACATCGTAGGTTTCTTACAATATATAAATAGCTAAACTTTATATAGCCACGACCATATTCTAGCACTGCTCTAAGCCATTTCCTACTCTGAAATAGCTACTATTGTTACCTCCATTGTAGAGAAAACAGGTGCCGGAGGCTGTTGTGGAAGGCCCAGGGAAACTGACTATGAAATTGACTTGTTGTAAGTTTCAGACTTAAAAGTTCTTCCTGCTCTGCGCCTTACATTGCTACATTTTAGTTAAGGTACCTCTTACAATACTGGTCCTTTCTGTATTTGGAGGGACTTCTCTTGCAAATTGAAGTTTTTTCTTGTGCTAAGCATTTGGTCATGAGATTATCTGCGTTTTACATCAGTTTAAATACCTCTCTAGACATTGTTCAGTTAGGAATGTAAATAGGAGCTAACATTGTGTGTAAAAGGAAAGAACATCTGATTACAACCACTTTTGTTTCATAATACAAATATAAATCAATATGTTATTGGAAATGCAGGCTGGGAGGGGAGGGAAAATATGCATAGAGAAAAGCCCCATCTCTGCTTGGAGTTCAGCACTGGGTCTCTTTTTCCTTTCCACCTTCCTTGTCAAGGCTGCCACAGTGACAAGCACACAGGGGTGCCTTTAGTGACACCTGCTGCGACAGACCTGGCAGAACGGATTGCAGATTTGCATGTTTCCTGGCTGCCTCTGCTAGCCTGAGTCAGCAGCCCACTCCAATTCATGCTGAGCTTAGACAGCTCAGGTTTGCAAAATTATCCCTTCCCTTGGAGCAACCGCTTTCCAGTCTCCTCATCATTCCTAAAGGAGAATGACACACATGCCAGCATGACAGAGGTCCAGAAATTTATAGAAGCTTCATTGTGAGCCTATATCCTTAACAGGGGTTCAAACTACCAACACCGAATGAAGAGAGAGGTTTTGCAGTAAAGCAGGAAGTCATTAAAATAATGAATCACCCAGCTAGGTTTTGAGCTCCTTTCCCACCAATTTAATGGAAAGTTTTATTGTCTTTACAATGTACACTTTCATAAATTTTGCATAAATTTATTATTCACATCTTAACATAGGTAACTCCTTAGTGTTTGATCACTGAGCAAATTATATACAGCAAAACAATCCTATATTTTGGTGAACTCATAGCTTAGAAAATACTAAAGACTCATTGTAAACTGAGGGCAGCATTAAGCAAATTATATTTACCTTTGTGACTGCAAAACTTAATGATTCAATGCTTTTCCCATGAAATTTATCTTCCAATACTGATAGTTTTTTAAACAAAAAATATGAATTAAATATCAATTAAAATTTTATCATTGTTTTCAGAAACTGTGACTTCACTAGTTATGAACAGACTTGAAATGTATAGTTTTTAAGTTTGGAAATTCTTTGTAGTCTCATTTACTTTTCCAGGAAGGAAGTGAGATATTTTTTGCCACTGTTGCCTGGTTTTTGTTTGTTTTTTGATCATAAACAAAACTTAATGGAGCCTCAAATCTACTAACTCGGTCCTCCTCTGGCAATATGCCTTTTTCTGATTTCTAGATATCACTTGATATTTTTTAACACACTAATTTTATTATTTAAAAATTTATAAAAGTACTCAGAAGTAAGAGGCAAATTAAATTTGAAACCTTAGTGGTAATACCATCATCCAAAGTCATCATCAATAATATTTTGGCATATTTTATTTTAAAATACATTTCAGCACAGTTTAGTTATATTTGTTATATCTGTATCAATAAACTGTTTTCATATGTCATTACTTTTATGGATATAATTTTTGACGTGCGACTAATACGAAATCTTATATACTTGCTATAGTTGACCTTGTGAGACATTTAGATTTTCAACTGTTTAGTACTTTAATAACCAGTTTTTATTCTAATATCATTATTAGAATAATATTACTATAGTATTATTATTATTGTAGCAATAACTTGTTTTTAGAATAAATATCCTATTTCTCATTTAACTTGATTGGATCCGTGCATGGACAATTATGTTGGGAACATAGAATGTAACTGGCCCTGTTTCAACCCCTTAGATGTGGCCCTCAGTTCAGGGAAGGGAGGAGTTCTCTACTGGGCTGATAAAGCAGAATTCAGAAACATTGTTTTCTTCTCTACCTGGTGTCTTACAAAACCAGAAGATGTGAGTGTGACTCTTAAAGGCAAGAGCATGTATATTATGCAAAAGCAGCCTGAAATATTTTATTCACAGACAGACAGACAATGCTTGACTCCCTGCTAATCTGAAATACTTCGTGGGGAGGGCCAGGGAAATCAAAACAAAATTTCAGAAGTAGAATGAGCTATTTGGTGTATGTCTCCAAGGCCAATAAATAACAAGAAGGAAAAATAAATTTCTTTGCTAACAACAAGAAGGAGAAATAAACTTTTTTGCTCTAAAATATTTTCCAATTATCTCCACGACACTGGAGGGAAGGACTAACAAAAAAAAAAAAAAAAAAAAAAAAAAAGAAAGAAAGAAAGAAAGAAAGAAAAAAAAAAAGAAAAGAAAAAAAAGGTGGGGCATGGTGGCTCATGCCTGTAATCCCAGCACTTTGGGAGGCCAAGGCGGGTGGATCACAAGGTCAGGAGATCGAGACCATCCTGGCCAACATGGTGAAACCTGGCTCTAGTAAAAATACACAAAATTAGCCGCAGGCACCTGTACTCCCAGCTACTTGGGAGGCTGAGGCAGGAGAATGGCATGAACCCGGGAGGCAGAGCTTGCAGTGAGCCGAGATGGCGCCACTGCACTCCAGCCTGGGGGACAGAGCGAGACTCCATCTCAAAAAAAAAAAAAAAAAAAAAATTAACCATCACAGAGGAGCAGAGAAAAACCTTCTCAAAGACAGAAGTCATTGATTTATTTCCATCCCGGCACAAGCCCCTTAATTCTGTAACTTGTCCAGAATGGTTTCCTGTCACTGTAGATTCTGCATCAGAACATCCTCTTATGCAAAGCTAAAAAACTCCAAACCACCTCTGTTAACTGTGCGGTGCTCCATGGTTTCACACAGTCCAGAGCTGCTTGTGTTTATCAAAAATGAAGCAGAAAACAAAATTCTTCCTTCACACAACCACTGCATTCCATTGCACATTTACCAAAGACATTTACCACGTTGGCATTATTTGTGCATCCATCAAGAAGTGCTGAAAAGCATTCCCCTCACACACTGCATGTGTCCTGTGAGTGGATCTTCCATTTTACTTGCCAGTTCTGGAAAACTTTGAATTTGTGTGTCGATGGAAAATTAAAGTTTAGTGGCATCTTTGCCCCACATTCACCCAACTTTTCTAAGGAACTATTTCAATGCTACTTTTCACTAGTGTCACTTTTCAGTCTTAGCCTCCTGGAGTACAACTTTATTAGAAGCCCGCAAAGCACTAGTGTTAAAATGAGAAATAGTAAACATCTGATTCTGTTGTGTTTTAACTCCATGCTTTTCTCTAATGTTTCATTGTTTTGAATTTAATTCTTTGTGCTTCCCACGTGAATGCAACTTACAGTTTGAATGTCTTCTTTCTTCACTAGCCGATGCATCTGTGCCAGTAACACACGGTGATTCTGTCCTTTCACCTTCAGTTATGCCTGTAAAACCAAATTCAAGACAGATGATCCTCAACTCACAAAGGAGTTATAGCTCATCATCAGTTGAAAATATAAGCCGAAAATGCATTTAAGGCCGGGTGCAGTGGCTCAGCCTGTAATCCCAACTCTTTGGGAGGCTGAGGCGGGTGGATCACCTGAGGTCAGGAGTTAGAGACCAGCCTGGCCAACATGGTGAAACCCTGTCTCTACTAAAAATACAAAAATTAGCCAGGCATGTTGGTGCGCACCTGTAATCCCAGCTACTGCGAAGGCTGAGGCAAGAAAATCGCTTGAACCCAAGAGGCAGAGGTCGCAGTGAGCCGAGATCATGCCATTGCACTCCAGCCTGGGTGACAAGAACAAAACACACTGTCTCAAAACATAAAATTAAATTAAATTAAATTAAAATGCATTTAATACACCTAAGCTAACATCATAGCTTAGCCTAGCTTACCTTAAACATTCTCAGAAAATTTACATTCACCTTCCATTGGGCAAAAATTCTCTCTCACAAACCCACTTTAAAGTGTTGAATATCTCATGTAATTTATTGAATACTGAAGTATGGTTTCTGCTGAATGCATATCACTTTCACACCATCATAAAGTCAAAAAATTATAAGTCAAACCATTGTATGTCAGGGATCATCTGTCCATTAGAAATAGTACTTCTGAGTAAAACGAGGACAAACTCCTTTGGTCTTCATGTCCTCAGAATCACTTTCATAATCATCTCTTGGTTTACAAGGTGCATCTTTTATTGGTTAAAAAAATTAATACAATTTATTTCACTCTCAAATTAGGTTTAATAATAAATAATACAACTTTCTTTTGTTTTCACTAATAATGCTAACATTGGCTTGATTTAAAATTAATATTGCAAAAATAAGACTTTATAGAATAGATGTTCCCATTTTTCAGATGTGTGAGATTATACTATAGTTGACAAACTAACCTTAAAGAACGCAGCTTGCAATGTGGTCCTTGTGTATGTGACTCGTTTGCAGCTCACAGCCTCTGCATCTTTCCATCGAGTCTGACAAAACCTGAGTTGGTCTGTAACTGCTCATTGAGACAAGTCCCCTGATGTCACATGCTGGGAGAATGTCAAGTTTCTATAGAAATTTCTAAACATTTACCCTGAATTTCTATGTTTCTATCATTACATAGAGATGACAGAGTGTTGACAGACTTTGAGTGGTCTTTAGTAACCAATTGTTGAAAGTCTGGTTTAGCTAAACTAGTTTGTAAGTACCTCGGCAGGTGCCTTTGCTGTAGGAATTCTCAGAGTCTCTATAAACTAATGAGCATTGGAAATCTGCAGGGGGGAAACAGAGTATGCAGTATCCCCCATGATGATTCAACCCCAGATTTTATTTTTCACTGAGGATCTCACACTTAGTAGTGTATCTTTTCTATGCACTGGGCACTGGGAGAGGACGTGTTGTCATCTCAACAGAGACCTGGCCTTCAGACGCCACCACTCACTGCCGCTCTGTCCAGGCGAGCATCAACTTGCACTGTTTCAGAAGCAAAAGGAAAATGAACCGCAGCCACTGAAGTCCCTCAGAACTGAGGAAAAGTTACTGACTTTCCTGATTTGTGTTCAGTCTGGCTGGCCATGGGTACAGACACAGCTGGTTTCCCCATTTGTGAGCTGGACGGATTTAATTCCTGGCTGTTTGAATGATGTATCCCCTCATCAGTGAAACCAACAGAGTAGCTCAACTTAATTTTCTCTTTCTATGGCATGCCATTTATACCCATTCAATTATGCCTGTGTCAATTAAGTCAAACATTCTTACTGTCTCTATTTCTAATAAAAAGTGGTAAACACTCGAAAACCCCTTTCATAAATAGGCATGTATAAAAGCAATGTTCTTAATAAAAATGTTGGACTTAATAAAAGTATTTTAAAAAACAGTAGGAACCATAGTATAATAAAGGCCTTAGCCGGGCGTGGTGGCTCACACCTGTAATCCTAGGACTTTGGGAGGCTGAGGCGGGCAGATCACGAGATCAGGAGATCGAGACCATCCTGGCTAACACGGTGAAACCCCATCTCTACTAAAAACACAAAAAATTAGCTGGGCGTGGTGGCAGGTGCCTGTGGTCCCAGCTACTCGGGAGGCTGAGGCAGGAGAATGGTGTGAACCCAGGAGAGGGAGTTTGCAGTGAACAGAGATTGTACCACTGAACTTCAGCCTGGGCGACAGAACGAGACTCCGTCTCAAAAAAAAAAAAAAAAAAATATATATATATATATATATATATATATATATAAAGGCCTCATTTTGCAGGTGAGGACACTGAAGATTATAGAAGAAAGAAGGGCTTCATGCAAAACCACGTTCCTGATTGTTGGCGGAACCAAGCCCACAACCTGGAACTCAAGTTTCTCTACTTATAGTAGATGCTCAAAGAATTATAATACTTTATAACAACGTCATAATCATTTGACGTTTCTAAGCTGGTCATGTTTTCTTTCATGTGTACTTCTCCCCTCTCAACAATTACCGTGCCCTTGGCAATTTAATAAAGCAGGATAATATTCAACTCAGTGACCTACAGCTTGACAAGCATCTCCTGCTCCCAGAAAACAGAAGGTGTTGCTGTCAAACTAATACTAAATAATAATTTTCTGTAGTCCTAGAGCCTCTGGACTTCCCAATTACACGGCCAATAAACCCCCTCATTGTCTGAGCCAGTCTGAGCTGGGCAGCCTGACTGAAGTCTGGAACATCCTAACTGGCACAAAGGCCCTTAAGATGACCCCAAGCCACCTGTCTGGCTTTCTCTCTTGTCACTTCCTTCTACATCCTCTCTGCAACAACCAAATTAGATTACTCACCATTCCCCACACTGCTTTGTGATTTTCTTTCTTTCTTTTTTTTTTTTTTGATGAAGTTTTATTCTTGTTGCCCAGGCTGGAGTGCAGTGGTGTGATCTCAGCTCACTGCAATCTCTGCCTCCTGGGTTCAAGTGATTCTCCTGCCTCAGCCTCCCGAGTAGCTGGAATTACAGGTGCCCAGCATCATGCCCAGCTAATTTCTGTATTTTTAGGAGAGACAGGGTTTCACCATGTGGGCCAGGCTAGTCTCCAACTCCTGACTTCCGGCGATCCACCTGCCTCGGCCTCCCAAAGTGGATTTTCTTTTTTTACCCATGCACTTGCCCAAGCTGACTTTCTGGCTCAAACCTTTCCCCTGGCCTTGCATCCTCTCTATCCATCTGCCCAAACCTCCCTCACTCTCCAAAGTCTCATTTCAAATGTTGCCTTTCCCTGAAGCTTCTCCCGGAATGACCCATCTCTCCCTCCTCATTCTGATCATTTCCTCTTTGAATTCCCGTAGTGTTAGGTATGCCCTCCTCTTCCAGCACTGAATCCAGCCTTGCCTCGCATTAGAGTCATTTGTACACCTGACCTTAATCCCCCTGAGGGCAGGGATAGTTTGTGTTTATCCCAAAGTCCTGAAACAACTAGTACAGAACCTGAGACACAGGAAGGCCCCAGAATTGCCTGCCGAATAGAACAGTGATAGTGCTGAATTTGGTTCCTCCTTTAACCTGTGTGACCCCAGACGTTTGTTTTCTATGAAGCCTCAAAACATGGTTATGTTTCCTAATTTACAACGAACACATGGAAACCCATGTTTTGAAAACGGGGGTGGGGAGGATGAACTGAAGGCAGCCTCTTCAGCCAAGTTCCAAAGGCCAGGTGGCCCACTGTGAACCTTGTTTAACCACACAGAACATATGAATAGCTACAACAAGGGATCTAACAGTTACCAGAATGTTTTCAGAAAGGTGACTTCAGAAGTGCCAAGCTTCAGGAAGACCTGGACTGAGAAGGGATCAGACAACTTTAGGAAAGCAGGCACCAAACAGCCCTTTTACAGTTTACACACAGGCCTTGGTGTCAGAAAAATACTGGTTTGAGTACTGGTTATGCATCAGAGATGCCACTCTGGACAAGCTCCTTATGCTCTCTGGGACTCTGCTTTCTCATCTAAAAAATGGGGATCACCTGAGGTCAGGAGTTTGAGACCAGCCTGGCCAACATGGCAAAACCCCATGCCTGCTAAAAATACAAAAATTAGATGGGTGTGGTGGCTCGCACCTGTACTTGCAGCTACTTGGGAAGCGGAGGCAGGAGAATTGCTTGAACCTGGGAGGCAGAGGTTGCAGTGAGCTGAGATCGCACCACTGCACTCCAGCCTGGGCAACAGAGTGAGACTCTGTCTCAAAAAACGGGGCGGGGGGTGGTGGATAATAATAGTGCCTACCTCAAGAGGTTGCTGTGAACACCAGAAGAAGCAATACACACCAAGTGCCTACAGATAGTAAGCACTTGGTAAAAATGTAACTGCCATTAACAATAAATATGATGCTCACAGGGTCAGTGGAAAAAGTAGTGGAAAGTAGGAGTGGTGGGAACAGAACAGGAGGGAACAAAGCACCTCTGAGTAGACCTTTCTGTATAGCTCCGACTCTCCGTCTCTTATTATGTTTCACCCTAATAATTCATTAAAACTAGGATAGGAAGGCTGAGGGTGTTTTTGGAATACAAACACTAATGAACCAAACTGCATTATAAATAGTGGCCACACTGAAAGGGATGAAGAAGAAAGTAACTACTTTTTTTTTTTTTTTTAGACAGAGTCTCCCTTTGTTGCCCAGGCTGGAGTGCAGCGGGGCTATCTCAGCTCACTGCAATCTCTGCCTCCTGGGTTCACGCCATTCTCCTGCCTCAGCCTCCCGCAGTAACTGGGACTACAGGCGCCCGCCACCACACCCAGCTAATTTTTTGTATTTTTAGTAGAGACGGGGTTTCACCATGTTAGCCAGGATGGTCTCGATTTCCTGACTTCGTGATCTGCCTGCTTTGGCCTCCCAAAGTGCTGGGATTACAGGCTTGAGCCACCGCGCCCGGCCCCCCCGGCTCCATTTTTTTTTTTTTTTTTTTGAGACGGAGTCCCGCTCTGTTCCCCAGGCTGGAGTGCAGTGGCACAATCTCAGCTCACTGCAAGCTCCGCCTCCCTGGTTCAAGCCATTCTCCTGCCTCAGCCTCCCAAGTTGCTGGGACTACAGGCACCCGCCACCACGCCCTGCTAATATTTTTTGTATTTTTAGTAGAAACGGGGTTTCACCGTGTAAGCCAAGATGGTCTCGGTCTCCTGACCTTGTGATCCACCCACTTTGGCCTCCCAAAGTGCTGGGATTACAGGCGTGAGCCACCACGCCTGGCCTCCCCCTGCTTTACTTGTATTAACCAAATATTTATGAGTCTATCTATCAAGCGTTCAAATTATTTTACATGTAATCGCCAATCTCCAGAAAATAAATGGGACCACAACAAATTTACCCTAATTTCTGCAGCGAGCATAAATAATTGCTTTCAAGGGATGCTTGAATTAAATTACTATCCTGACTGTAGGGGCAGGGGCTTGGTGAAGATTTGTCCTTTGTGAGTAATGAGAAGAGTATACTTGGATATAAAAATAGTGAAGAAATAAGTAGTTTTTAAAAAAACGCTAAATTCCATGTTTAGCAAAGTTAATGAGCCCTAAATTCCTAAAGCTGAGTATTAGTGTGTAAATGAGTACTCCAAACCAACAGAGAATAACCTTGTAATTCATGGATATTTAGCTAAAACTTCATATGTTCTCATCATTCTGTGTCTCCTAGTTTTAGTTCAAACAGATGTTTTCACTCCTAAAAGACTCAAAATTTCTGACAATGCCCTTTATTAATGTTACTTTTTGAGAAATCACTTATTAAGTAAAAATTAAATTTACATTTTTCAAAATTGCATGTTGGGTTAATTTACCAAATCTTTTATCTGTTTTGTGTTTCCAGTTAGCCATTTTTGTTTCTGATTTGTAAATATTCAAAAATATTTGTTGAAATTACAAATTTTATTAATTGATTTTTGAGGGGAGTAGGGTGCGTTAGTTACTTTTCATTTAAATTCTGTGGTGTTTTTGCATATTCAAATTATTGTATTGTGAATAACCTGAAAGACAGTAGCTATATGATCGTTTGAGGTAATGGTAACAATACTCAAGGGTTGAAAAGATATGATTTTAAGTATGAGCTAAGGAGACTGCCCTTTATGTAACTACGGGATGATGTGAAAATCTGTTTTAACAGCATGATTAAATTTGGAATTCTTTTTTTTGAAGTTTTGTAAAAGGGAGGCAGAAGTTTAAGGGAAAAAGTTGGCCAGGTAAACTTGGATAGTTTTAGATCTATTAGTGACAGAATACTCAAGCTCTTGAAAATAGGAAAAGTTGTTCTTGCCATGTCAAAGGACAAGGGCTGCCATATGCTAATCACTGTATCTTTACTCAGATCCTATAAAATGATTTGTACAGAGAAGGGATTTAGTAAATCTTTACTAAATTAATGTTAGATGATGGAATGGATCATTGCGGCTGAAGGAGAGAGTAGTGAAAATGAGGATATTAGGAAAGGAAGTGGATGATTTGCTCAGATGTTGTTAAATTAGGTTTTGATAGAAAAAACCTGGAAAAAAAAAAAAAAACGACAACAGCCTGCATGACTTCTTAAAGCCCCCACCTCTTAATACTGTTTCAATGGCAATTACATTTCACATGAGTTTGAAGGGGAACTTAAAACCATAGCAAAGAGCACATTATATTCGTTGTTTCTGTGTAGTGCTGCTCTTTACCAGGCTAATAAATCCTGGTAGACATGCAAGAGCTTGCTCTTAATCCAAAATAAACAAAATGTGTTTTACTGAGAAAATTGCAGACATATCAAAGGGTAGTTTGACAGCACGGGTACAGAATACTATCAAGACATTTTCTTCTGTTTTACATACATGGGTAATTCTTGCTTGAATGCAAGAGGGCTGAATACCAGCTTTATTTAATATATTTTGTGTCAACTTCTGTATACAGATTTATTTTTCTTGAGGTGAGAGAAGAGGAAAGAGGAGAACGTTAATTCCAGATAGCTTTAAGCAAATGTTAGAAAGGCGAACATTTATAGGTTTCCAAATATCTTTTGGCTAGCTGACATTTACAAACACGGAGCTAGGTAAGCTTTTCCCCCTAGCAATATGAAGGCTCTGGCAGCAAGTAAAGGATATGTGAAGTGAAATATGCCTTTCAAACATAGTAAAGAAGAAGACTGTTTGTAACCACCGTTGGTGAAAATCACGAGAACCAAGTCTTTCTTGTTATTTTAAACATCCTATAAAAGCATTGCAAAAGTTTATATTGCTGGTTAAAATATTTGGGACTATTTTGTCCATTTCCACACCTTACTTTAAGGTCCAGGCATTTGTTGAGAGGGAAATTGCCTATTTAACTGAAGGAACAATATGTTTTAAATTACTGAGAGTACTCTGTTGAAACTTAATGAGAACAGAAAGCAGCATTAATAAGAAAAATAGTATTTACAAAGATTGCTTAAGGATGCAAGCTGGGTACCAACTAATTGTAATTCTTTAATTTCGGTATGCGTGCAACATCCCATGTGTATGAAAACAAAATGTGTATTTCCAAGCAGTATGTTTTAGGATCAGAGAATTTCAACCAAATATTAAATTCTCAAATCGTATGCAAACAAGTGTCAATCATGGCTTTAACATGACAGCTGGAGGAAAAAATTCAAGCAACATGTGTAGATAATTGTGGTTAATGTTTATCTGTACATAGGAAGATACTTCAGATGTGTAAGTATGCAAATAACTCTCGGATTTCTAATTACTGTATTTATCAAGTTCTATATGCTGTCTAAATTCAGAAATGAAAGCAATTTTAAAATAGCATGCATATTATAATTACAATATTAAATTGAGCTCAACTTTCCTAGCTATTCTCTGCCTTTCTGTCTGCCTCTGCCTATGTCTCTATCTCACACATGTATGTGTGTATGTGTATATATACCCTCACTTGTGAACATATATTCATAACCACATGTATAAACACACAGTATAAAAGGATATTAGAAAAGGAAGTGGATGATTTGCTCAGATTTTGTTAAATTAGGTTTTGATAGAACAAACCTGAAAAAATACGTTAAAACATATGAGGACATATACCAAAATATTATCAGTAGTTAATTTTAAGACAAGCCTGATGGGTCATTTTAATTTTCTACTTTTTACCTGTCTGTTTTGATTGCAACTTTAAAAATAAGCCTGTGTTACTTTTTAAAGAGAAAGAGAGAGAGAGCAAGATTTGCCTGTTTTGGAAAATTGTTTTAAAGGAACACCACAGGAAATGAAGTAATTCTTAAGTGCCTGCCATTTATATCTAAAAATGGTTTTCAGTAATGGGATAGTTCTAGTATCAGTAGGGAGATCCATTATCACATGCAGATTTAACCTTGTTGTTGTAGGCCAGAAATATTTAAAACCATTTAACTGACTTGAAGAATTCTTCAATTTTTGAAAATATATTTCAAAAGAAAAACTTTCCAGTTAATTTATGAAGTTAACAAAATATTGATTCTAAATGGTATATTTATAAAATTTTATTCTGTAATTGGTTATTGGTAGTGTAAGGAAATAAAATAGACTTTTATGTGCTCATATTGTAACCAGTGATCCTGATAGCTATATTTAGTTATTCGTTCTAATATTTTATTTTAGATATTCTACATATACAATAATGTCCTTAGCAAATAATGACCTGTGTATTTCTTTCTTGCTAATTCTTACTTTTTTTTTCTTATTGAACTGACTAGGGAATTTTGTTTCTGATCCCATAAGGAAAGCTTTCCATATTTCCTTATTAATTATAATATTTTTGTAAGATTTTATGATTATCTTTCACCAGATTAAATACATTTCATTGTTGTTTGCATATTAAAAAATATATTCTGCATCTGTTGAGATGAGATTTTCTTCCATATTGTTAATATAGTGAATTACAATAATTGATTTTGTGATATTAAAATAATATTTTATTATTGAAACACAATTTGTTTTTAATTTACTGTACTTTTTAAAATTAAGATATAATTCATACACCATAATATTTGTCCTTAACAAGGATGCAACTCAGTGATTAGTATATTCAGAAGGTTATGGTATAATCACTGCAAATTCCAGAATAATTTCATCACTGAACAACAACAAAAAAATCCTGTGTCTCTTATTAGCCAGTCCTTGTTTGCTCTTCTCTCTAGCCCCTGGCAATCACTGATCTACCTTCTGTCTCTATAGATTTGCTTTTTCTGGGCATTTCATATAAGTAGAATTATAGAATATGTGACATTTTGTGTCTGGCATTTTTCACTTAATGTTTTCATGATTCATACATGTATCATGTATCAGTAGTTCATTCCTTTTATGGCTAAATTATATTCCATTGTATGGATATACCACTTTTTGATTATCCATTCATCAATTGATGGACATTTGCACTGTCTTTATGGCCATTACAAATAATGTTGCTATAAACATTTGTGTCCAGGTTCTTTGTAGACATGTTTTTCATTCTTTGGGAGATATTCCTAAGGAGTAGAATTGTCCAGTCATTTGATAACACTGTTTAACTTTTTTTTCTTTTCTTTCTTTCTTTTTCTTTTTTTTTCTGAGACAGAGTCTCACTCTGTCGCCCAGGCTGGAGTGCAGTGGCGTGGTCTCAGCTCACTGCAACCTCCGCCTCCTAGGTTCGAGCAATTCTCCTGCCTCAGCCTCATAAGTAGCTGGAATTACAGGTGCCTGCCACCACGCCCGGGTAATTTTTGTATTTTTAGTAGAGATGGGTTTTCACTGTGTTGGCCAGGCTGGACTCAAACTCCTGACCTCAGGTGATCCTCCCGCCTTGGCCTCCCAAAGTGCAACTGCAAAATTGTTCCTACCATGGCTGCATCGTTTTGCGTTCCCACCAGCGATTTATGTGGGATTGTTTCCACATTCTCAAACATACTTGTTATTTTCTTTTTGATCATAGTATGAAATGGTATCTCCTGGTGGTTTTGATTTGCATTTCTCAAATGACCAATAATGTTGAGTATCTTTTCATGTGCTTCTTGCCTATTGTGTATCTTTTTTGGAGAATTTTCTACTCAAATCATTTCTCCATTTTAAAAATAGGTTATATGTTTTTTTATTATTGAGTTGTAAGATACATATTCTGAATACAAGTCTTTTAGAAGATGTATGATTTGCAAAATTCTCCCATTCTGTAGGTTGTCTTTTCCCTTCCTTGGCTTTTTCTTTTAAAGAAAAAATTTAGTTTTAATTAAGCATAATATAGCCCCCTTTTTTTTCTTTTGTTGCTTGTAATTTGGTGCTATATCTAAGAAACTATTGTTTAATCTAAGGTCATGAAGATTTTGCTTATGTTTTCTTCTATGAGTTTTTTACTTCTAGGTCTTACATTTAGGTTTTGATCAACTTTGTGTGTAAGGTAAGGTCAGAATCCAACTTCGTTTGTTTGCATGCATATGTACAGTTGTCCCAACACTATTTGTTGACAAGACTACTATTTCCCCTTTGAATTTTCTTGGCATCCTTTTAAAAATCAATTGCTCATAAATATAAGGTTTATTGATTAATGCTCAATATTATTTCATTAAATTTATATGTCTATCTTTATGCTAATGCAACACCGAATTAATATAGTTTGGTAGAAAATTTTCTGTTTCAAGACTATTTAGACTGTTCTGGGTGCTTTGCTATAGTAGTTTCCTGTTCCTGATGTAACATCTTACTACAAAGTTATGCCTAAAAAATCACAGCTTTATCATCTTAATGTGTGCACGTGTGCGTGCGTGTGTGGATTCCTTAGGATTTCCTGTATGCATAAATATTTCTCCATATATATCTATATACAAATTCTTTATACCTCATGGCATCTCCATATAGAGATAGTTATATTTCTTTCTTTTTAATCTTCACCCCAGGCTACTATCCAATTGAATAAAAGGTGGTGCTACTATTGAACATGCCATAGAATATTAACTTTGTAAACTGACTTGAAGTCTCCCTGGGTGAATGCTAACCCTCTCATATGTAATAATGGCTTCATTTACAAAATGTATAACATGATGACTACCAAATTATTTCTTCAGCCTTCACTTTTATCCAGAACTGCCAAATCTGAATCTAATTCCCATTTAGGATTGCCACAGGTATGTTCAAAATAGTACTTTCTTTTTCTCATAAGATTCTGCCTTATGTCTTGAATTTATACTCTAGGTAAATGTTGTAAGCAGAATAAAAACCCCCAAAGATGCTCACACTTTAATCCTTGAGACCTGAATATGCTGTATTACCTGACAAAAGAGACTTTGCAGTTAGAATTATGAATATTAAAATGAGGACCGTATATGAGTCCAATCTAATCACTATGAGCCCTTAAAAGCTGAGACCATGTGTAGTTGATTTCTGAGAGACGGGGCAGGAGGGAAAGGCAGAGATATTTGAAATGTTCGTGCTGCTGGAAAGGCCCATGAAAAAAGCATAAGGAACAGGGACAGTCTAGGAGGAAAGGCTGGTCCCAGCTGACGGCCAGCAAGGAAATGGGGACTGCAATAATACCTACTCAAGGAACTAAGTGTGGCTAACAATCTGAACAAACGTGGAAGCAGACCTTTCCTCAGAGCCTCCAATAAAAAATGCAAGAGTGTGGCTGGGCGCGGGGGCTCACGCCTGTAATCCCAGCACTTTGGAAGGCCGAGGCGGGCAGATCACGAAGTCAGGAGATCAAGACCATCCTGGCTAACACGGTGAAACCCCGTCTCTACTAAGAAAAATACGAAAAAATTAGCCAGGCATGGTGGCGGGCGCCCGTAGTCCCAGCTACTCTGGAGGCTGAGGCAGGAGAATGGCGTGAACCCGGAAGGCGGAGCTTGCAGTGAGCCGAGATCGCGCCACTGCCCTCCAGCCTGGGCGACAGGGCAAGACTCCGCCTCAAAACAAACAAACAAAATGCAAGAGTGATGGAGTCAGTGCATTACTACCTGAATACAACACACTTTTCAAGCTACATAAACTTCATGCTTTCCTCGTTTTATAAAAGTCATCTCCTCTGCCTTGAAAACTCTCCCCATTGTTATTAATCTGCCTGAAAATTTATCTTCATCCTCAAGTGTCTACTCAAATGGTCTATTAAATGAGTTCTTCCCAGATGATCCCAGATAATGAGTACCACTTTTTAAAATTAGATTTCTAGATACTTTCATTATTGTAATCCACTTTTATAGGAAATTTTTGTTGTTGTGTATCTCCTTACTAAACGAACATTTTTTTGTTTTTGAATCTGCATCAATTGTTGAACACATATAGAATATATTAAATACATACAAGCTAATGAAGTAACACATGAATGCATCTCAGACCACTTATCCTAAAACAACCATTTTTTTCTTTCATTCTGTCAAATACTTTTTCTCTAATATCCTATACTTTTGTTACTATTCATGGATTTTATCTATTTATAGTTATTTTCTTACTGATATGCAATTATTTTCTATGTATAGTGTATCACATATCTGGCAAAATTTTGTTTGGTTTGCATAATATCTTTTTATTTTATTGTGAATGACATTATAGAACTTTACAGATGAAATAAAATCTGTCGGCCGGCTGCGGTGGCTCGTGCCTGTAATCCCAGCACTTTGAGAGGCAGAGGCGGGCAGATGACGAAGTCAGATCAAGACCATCCTAGGCCAACATGGTGAAACCCTGTCTCTATTAAAAATACAAAAATTAGACGGGCGTAGTGGTGCGTGCCTGTAGTCCCAGCTACTTAGGAGGCTGAGGCAGGAGAATTGCTTGAACCCGGGAGGCGGAGGCTGCAGTGAGCCGAGATCGCGCCACTACACTCCAGCTTGGGCTACAGAGGGAGCCTCTGGAAAAAAAAAAATCTGGCTAGGCGCGGTGGCTCACGCCTGTAATCCCAGCAATTTTGGAGGCCGACGCGGGCGGATCACGAGGTCAGGAGATTGAGACCATCCTGGGTAACACTGTGAAATCCCATCTCTACTAAAAAAATACAAAAAATCAGCCGGTGGGCACCTGTAGTACCAGCCAGTCCGGAGGCTGAGGCAGAAGAATGAGGTGAACCCGGGAGGCGGAGCTTACAGTGAGCATAGATAGCACCTCTGCACTCCAGCCTGGGCGACAGAGCGAAGACTCCGTTTCAAAAAAAAAAAAAAAAGGCATTTATATGTCCATTCTTCCACTTATGCAGCCCTACTTAATTATTGTCATTACAAAATGATGCTTATCCTTCTGCTAAATTTCTCTGAGTATTTCTAATATTTATGCTTACAGATAAAATTGAATTATTTTTAATCAAAGTCCAAAAATACATCATTAAATTTATTTTTTCAAAAGAAAAGACAAAAAATTTTTTAATTTATCCAATGCTCCTTTTAAATCCCTAATGGAAAAATACATTTTATTCATTCATTATATATAATGAATTCATTTTATTGAATAAAATGATTTTATTAATGAATAAAATGTATATATAAATATATTTATATTTATTTTTAATGAATTTTTGGCTAATTTTTTGCTAATTTTATTTTTATTATTATTATTTTTGAGACGGGCTCTCTCTCTGTGCCCAGGCTAGAGTGCAGTGGTGCGATCTCGGCTCACTGCAACCTCTGTCTCCTGGGTTCGAGCGAGTCTTCTGCCTCAGTTTCCCAAGTAGCTGGGACTACAGGCATTTGCCACCATGCCCAGCTAATTTTTGTATTTTTAGTAGTGAGGGGGTTTCACCATATTGGCCAGGCTGGTCTTGAACTCCTGACCTTGTGATCCACCCATTTCAGCCTCCCAAAGTGCTGAGATTACAGGCGTGAGCCACCATGCCCGGCCACTAATTTTTTTTTTTTTTTTTGAGACAGAGTCTCCCCCTGTTGCCCAGACTGTGGTGATGTCATTGCAACCCCCACCTCCCACGCTCAAGTGATTCTTGTGCCTCAGCCTCCCGAGTAGTTGGGATTACAGGCATGTGCCACCACAGCCGACTAATTTTTTTTATTTTGCAGTAGACAGGGTTTCTCTATGTTGGCCAGGCTGGTCTTGAATTCCTGGCCTCAAGCGATCTGCCCACCTCGGCCTCCCAAAGTGCTGGGATTACAGGCATGAACCACCATGCCCAACCAAGAGTTAATGTTTCTTTTAAAATAAATCAAAAGAGCAAAACTTATCTGACAGCAATTGACAAAAGAAAACAGCAGTCTACTATTAAACATAATAAAATTTAAGGCAAAATTATTTTATTTGGGATTTTGGATTTCCTTGTGTTTTCTCATCTTACTTAAACCTGCTTCCTTTCTATGCCTGCACTTCTCACCATCACTTTTCCCACTACAAGCTTACTGCTCCAGTTTTTTAAAAAGTCATGGCTCTTCTGTCTTTTTTAGTGTAAAAAGGGGAAATTTTCTAATTTTCAGTTTCTTGTGTTACATTCTTTTCATAAGTACATTCTTTTTGAATCCTAAATATTTCGTTGTTAGATGATTGTTCAAAATCAGTTTGCTCATTCATGACTATAGAAAGATGTAGATTTAAGCCCTGGTTTTTGCAACAGAAAAGCCAGATGGCCCACAGCTTATCCCAGTTTCTACTTGAACACAATAAGCTTTCTTTTTCTCTCAACTTTATCCAGGAAGAACCATTTTATATACAGATTTCTGATCCAGTCTCCAGGGTTTCCAAGGCATTAATCAAGCATGGCTTTACTGGACAAATGTAGGGCCTTCTGTGTCTTTAATACTGGACTTTCTATGCCAGACAGTATCTTTGTTCTAGTTCTTCTTTGCACTGTTCATATCTCACTGGTTTAGATATAATTGCCTGCTGCAGCGTGATGACTTCCCTCCGTGAATCTTCCTCAGTTTCATTATTGATGGTATACCATGTACATGAGACAAAGATTTCTTTACTCTTCTTGAGGTCTCTCTATGCTGTTTGGTTCAGATAATATGGAGTTACCCATTGTAAACTCATTTACAGTGAAGTCAGTTGTAGCACTGATCTAGTTTGGCTGTGTCCCCACCCTAATCGCATCTTGAATTGTAGTTACCATAATCCCCATGTGTCGTGGGAGGGACCCAGTGGGAGGTA
The DNA here is from genome assembly GCF_000001405.40 of Homo sapiens. Lineage (NCBI taxonomy): Eukaryota > Metazoa > Chordata > Mammalia > Primates > Hominidae > Homo > Homo sapiens. The sequence goes on along the minus strand of NW_012132920.1, from coordinate 2,079,168 downwards.
ACTGAATCATGGGGGCTGTTACCCCCATGCTGCTGCTCTCGTGATAGTGAGTTCTCGTGAGATCTGATGGTTTTATATGGGTCTTTTCTCTCTTTGCTCTGTATTTCTCCTTCTGCCATCATGTGAAGAAGGATGTTGTTTGCTTCCCCTTCTGTTCCCCTTTTTTCCTTTATTTATTGATTCGAGTGTCATTCAGTTCAACATAAATTTTGTGAACAGCTGGTGTATGGTCAGCCCAAGGCTAAAACATTGTAAATGAATACATGGAGGACAGAAGTTTTGTGAACAGTGGGAGCAGAAGGCAAATCGCTGTAGACAGAGGAGAGAGCAAGAATGGACAACTTGCAAGAAGTTGAGCTATGTAGACAATGGGGTAAGAAAGCCAGGGGTGTTAGAGGAAGAGAAGTGCAAGTTGGATACCATAGCTTATAATGAGAATAGGAATTGGTAAAAATGTCAAGACAGGAGAAATCATATATGTTTAGAGGTTTAGTAGAGGAGCCATTTGACTTCTCTGTTCTTTTTGAGAAAGACGTGAATTGACAGAGATATAGGGAAAGTGTATTTGAAGTACAAGCAACAGCATGTATCTGGAAAACCAAAACACGGAGGGCATAAGTATGGGGGAACTGTGAATATTCCAACTTTGGCCACAACATTGGGTAGATACCATAGTTGCCCAGTAATGAAAACTTGTCTGAAAATGTATGTTTATGTCACACTGAGATAAAGAAGTATGTAATTAATTGGTTTATTTTAATCCCAATTATTGATTTTCCTGAATTATTGAGTATCATGAGACAATGGCCCATCTTAAGAAGTTCTAAGGAAGGTAGACTAATATGCAGGAAGGTATTTGTAACCCTCGAAACCCATTGGAGACACCTCACTAATGTATGGTAACCAGAATAATAGGAGGGTAGGAACTACGCCAATAATCAAAGTGATCCCTCCGCACGCCACTACCTAACTTCTTCAGCTTTGCTTAAACTTTGTCATCTGCTTGTGTGGCAGCAACTTCCTCCTAATAGTGTATGTTTACACTGAGTATTGGCACATAGTTTCTGCATCGTATAGAATTAAATTTCCTGTTTATTTTTAATTTTTGCTTTGTATTGTATTGTACTTTGGTTCACTTGTTTGTGTTTAGTCCAGATCATGATTCTAACCGGTTATAAAAATTTTGTGCATATGCTTCTTTTGAAATTTGTTTCTTGTTTGTATATCCACAGAATCCTTGAAAGATTCCTTTACCCAATGCCAAAAGAAATCCACTTAATACATTCCGCTGAGGCCTTTATATTAGTACACGTTAACTTTAAGTTGGAATATGCCACCGTGTGACATACTTTATGTGACAAGAAAAATGTTCTTAGAAAAGATTCTCATCTCAAGAAAGCTTTATACTGGAGACATTGTTTGCAATATCAGACTTCACTATTTTCAGCTCACAGTTTACTAAAGAGGATAATTGGAGAGGCATTCTAACATTAGTGGAGAAAAAGGCACTTGATGTTCATGACACTTGATAACAGAACCTCTGTATTTCTTAGTCTCTAGCACCATTTCATAGAATGAACTAAGTTATCAGAGGAGAGGAGATACACATTCGACCCAATTCTAAAAATTTAATATAATCAATATTTACTTATAAGGTACATTAATTATATTAATACATGGCAAGTCTCAAGATAAATTCTGAATAAAAATTTTTCAGTTAAATGTTGCAAATAATTTTTATCATTAAATTTTAAATACACAGATTATCTGTGTAACATATTAAAATGTATGTCATATAATGACAAAGGATTTCTCTATTGGAACATCTTTTATTTCACTGGCTTATTATTATTTCTGGTTGGTAAGTTTAAAAGACTACAATCTTTAATTTTATTTAGTTAAATGATTTGTTGTATTTTAAAATCAGTAGATAGTATATGTATCATCTTAGTCTTAATTTATAAATATATGACATTTCAATAAAATTCTTGAAGCCAATCAATAAAATTGATTAAGCTTTAAATTCTAGGCTGAGTCTAATTGATTATATTTCTTTATGATTCTTTAAGGGGAAAGCAGACACTTTCTTTTGTTTCAAGATGCCAATTTTCTTTTCCTCTTTTTTTTTTTTTTTTTGAGACAGAATCTCGCTCTGTTGCCCAGGCTGAAGTGCAGTAGCACGATCTCCGCTCACTGCAAGCTCCGCCTCCTGGGTTCACGCCATTCTCCTGCCTCAGCCTCCCTAGTAGCTGGGACTACAGGCACCCACCGCCACGCCTGGCTCATTTTTTGTATTTTTAGTAGAGACGGGGTTTCAACGTGTTAGCCAGGAATGGTCTTGATCTCCTGATCTCGTGATCCGCCTGCCTCGGCCTCCCAGAGTGCTGGGATTACAGGCATGAGCCACTGTGCCCGGCCTCAAGATGCCAGTTTTCTAAAGTGAGAAAAATTAATTTTAAAAATTAAATTGTATGTTCAATATCTGTGTGAGATCAGGTAAACCATGTGTCTTAGAGAGGGAAAGGTTTGAAAGTATAATTTTTATAGTTTCTTATTTATCTATATTTTCCTATATGATTGTTGTTGAAATATCTTAAATTTATTTCACATTAAAATTGTCAAATATCTGAATTCATGAGCCACCTGTTGAAGACCACTGAAAGAATATAAATAAATAAAATTGGTAGCTCATTGTTTTTCAATAACTTGTGAAGACTAAGCTCTGATTTTTTTATTTTGCCCAAATTCTTATCTAAGGGGTCTGGGGAGTCATCCCCTACTAACCATAAATTCTCATCAGATGGATTTTATTTAACCCTATATATCATGGCTTACTTTGCAATCTGACTCTGGCATAACATTATGTGACAAAGAAGAAAGTAAAAAAAATTTTACCCCAAAAGCAAGTTTCTTTGTCATATTTTGAAATGGTCCTGCAAAGCTGCCCTTTGTTGGGGGACATATGCATCTGTAAAGAATCTCTATTGACATAACTAGATCTTTTTCTTCCAAGCCCTCCCAATCCTGAAGAAATTAGTAGAAGTCTAGCACCTTTTAAGGTCTGAATAGGAAATATTTGTCATCTATTATCTCTAAGGGCAGCCACTATAAGACTTCAGAAGAACCTTGGTATCCACAATCTTTTAGCTTAACCTGGACATATCCTTTCCTTTGATCCCAGGTTTTTAGACAAACTCAACCAATTATCAATTGGAAAATGTTTAAATTTACCTATAGCCTGAAAGCACCCCCCCACCCCTGCTTTGAATTGTCCCGCCTTTCTGAACCAAACCAATGTGTTTCTTAAATGTATTTGATTGATGTCTCATGTCTCCCTAAAATGTATAAAACTGACCTGCACCCTGACCACCTTGGGCACGTGTTCTCAGGATCTCCTTAGGGCTGTGTCATGTGCCATGGTCACTCATATTTGGCTCAGAATAAGTCTCTTAAAATATTTTACCGAGTTTGACTCTTCATCGACACTTGTTTTATTGAATGAACTGGATTTCCATTGTTAATATTACCCTAATGTAAAGAGCAGTGAAGTAACAGACTTTTTGTCAGCCTTTTACTTACAGAATAGATGACCCCATGATCTGAGCCCTAATTCCTAACAGGGGATGCTTTGGAATGAACAAATCAAGAGGTACCTTGAACTGGAGATTGGTCCTGCTTCATGGTAGCATTTTCCCAGAAAACATGTCTCCATAATAAAAAAGAGTGACTGAATAGCAGATGAAGATATCCAGTTATAAAGCCAAGAGATAAGCCACCCATTCCAGAATTGCTACTTCCTCCTTTATCTGCAATGATCAAGTGGCAACTGTGACAGTGTCAACAGGTTGTACAGTGCACAAAAGGGAGGTTCTGGCTGAGAACGGAAAGTCTGCAAATGATAAGAGAGCAAAAGGAAGAAGTCCTAAACTGAGGAGAAACTGTCCTTTAGGGACAGGAAAAGGAAAATGAGCAAGAAGAATAAAAGATTTTAAAAAGAAATGAAGCTGGAAATCTATCATCATAGCCTAATCCCTAAATACCCCGCAGATGTTAGAAGAATGCCAAGCATTCCTGAAGTTGATAGACACAGATATAGATAGGTAGGTAGATACACAGAGATAGATTAATAGATAGGCAGATACATACATACATACATGCATACATAGGTAGCTACATAGACACATAGATGTATTGAATTGTACACATACACATGTGTATATAACATATATACCTATGTATGAGAGAGACAAGTGAGATATTAAATTATAATTAGCTAAAGACCATTTACAATACCCTATACAAAGAGAAATATCTAAAGTGTTTTTGGATAATTAATTCCACATTCTTTAGCAACTCATCCAATTTCCCACTGGCAGAGATTCAGGGCAAAGACATTTCAAGCCATTTTACAATGAGTCTCAAAAAGCAGTAAAATACCTTTATTCTGAGCACCATTTTAAACTTTTTAGCAAGTTGATGCTACTGCGACTCTTATTCCTGTCACCAGAGAAGCAATTCAGAAGAATTGTTAATATTTCAGAAGTTGCTTAAACTTCCTGTAAAGTGATAGGCCTGACCTCCTGGGGTTAATGTGAGCATCATAACAGTTAATACACGTAAATGCTTGACATACAATAAATGCTATGTAAGTGTTAGCCATGATTAGTATTTTCATCACTCAAAAATGCCTCTTTTCTGTCTCACACCATATTTCCCTAAAGTGCTCTGCCATTTCTTTATCTTTAACCATACTTCCCACTCTTGCTCCAATATTTCTCTCTTTTATATTTTTATTCCTTCATATACTGCTTCCAATACCTTCCTACTCAAACAGAAAGCTGCCTCTGTCCTTTAAGAATACCTACTAGTAGTACCTGGAAAGATTATTTTTCAGACACTTACCGTAAGGTGGGGTGGGGTTAGCATTCACCTTTTTTCATGCTGCCATTTTTAAAACTACACTATCTCAGTCTCCTTATGTTCAGGATAACACCATTCATAATCTACCCCTTCTTCACTGGGCCTCATGCCATCATGTCCACATTTTTGAAATACACAAACACCTGTCATTTTCCTTGAGACCTCAGAGCCCTGTGCAGGTGTCATCCAGTTACCCAGCCTCACTCTTTCGTAACTGGTGCGTCAATGACTACCATCATCATTTATGTATTTCTCACCTTAATTAATGGGGAGGGGCCGGGTGCAGTGACTCATGCCTGTAATCCCAGCACTCTGGGAGGCCAAGGCGGGCGGATCACGAGGTCAGGAGATCGAGACCATCCTGGCTTACACGGTGAAACCCTGTCTCTACTAAAAATACAAAAAATTAGCCGGGCGTGGTGGCAGGAGCCTGTAGTCCCAGCTACTCAGGAGACTGAGGCAGGACAAAGGCGTGAACCCAGGTGGTGGAGCTTGCAGTGAGCCAGGGTGGTGCCACTGCACTCCAGCCTGGGCAACAGAGCAAGACTCTGTCTCAAAAAAAAAAAAAAAAAATTAAGGGGGAGCTTGCCTGAAGGGAATCATTTCCTAGTACTGAATTATGACATAAGTGCCTTTGCTGAGACATTTTATATATATGGGCCATTGAATTATGATACTCTTCAACAATATTTTTGTATTAGGCAACAAAATGGATTTCATATGACTATTTGTTGTATTGTTCTTTTATTAAAAGGAGTAGGTCATGGCCCCAAAACTTAATTCAAGGAAAGAAACTCTGTTGGAAACTAAGGCAATATAGTTCAACTTTGTAGCCTCCTGGTGATCTGATTTGACCGAGGCTAAAATTTATAATACCCAGAGGAGTGACAGCCTTCAAATGATTTTCTGTAAGTATTAAAGTTGAGGTGTTTATTAAATGTCCACTTCTGTTTGGTAACACTTTAAGATTTTCTAGTTATTTTGAAGACTCATAAAATTCTAAAAAAAAAAAAATCCTTAGTAAAAAATAGTTTCCTCAAAATAAATACATTGCTCACAATTTTAATGACTCATCATTAAAGCTAACAAGGAAAGGGGTATTATCTGTCTTAAACTATTTGTAACTGATAAATAAGAGGTTAAATTTTTCCCTACAGAGTTTTACTATTGAGCCATTATTCAATTATGAGAAAGAGTAAACTGAAATATTTGCCAAGTACTTATGATATGACAGATATAGTGCCAGGTTGTTTTACATATTGTATATCACTAAATGTCAGAATTAAACTTCTGAAAATCAAAGCTGGCTAAAAGTGGGTATTTAACTTCTGTGGACTTGTTGAAACCCAATACAGAGATGTGTCTACTTGGGATCATGAAATCAAATATTCAGAAGAAATATATTTTTCATGCATATTCTGAAATCAGTGGCTGAAACCACAAGAAATAAGTGAACAGAGCTTATAAATATTGATTTATTGAGTTTATTCCCTTAGGTTCATATCATGGAGATGCTTAAAATACTTAAGCTAGAGTTATATTTAAAGTACTGCTATGTACGGATGTAATACAACTTATTTTACAGAGCTTCCCTTTGGGGGGCAAGAATTATTAACGTATGTGGTTATCCTGAGCTCCCTCTTTCTGTTTGCTAATGGGGATTCTGGCTTTGTCTGCTCAATTTCTTCCCCATTGCTCTTCTCTGAAAAGGCACTGCTGGTGGCTGACAGTGATATTCTCTTTCGTTATCTCCACATCAGTACAATGATAAGAGGAAACTGGAACAAAAAGGCAGGAGGGGTGGTAGGTAAAGATTGAGAACATGCATTTGAGTAAGGCCTAGGTGAGCTTTCTTCCAGAAAAGAAAAAATAAATACATAGTCAGGAGGCAATGACAAATTTTAACCAGAAGGATTTAAAGAAAGAGAGATATGGATAAAACGATATAAAGATGTGTGCGTTATATTTTATGTCTTATTCAGATATTACCAAAATACAAATACACTCGAGGTATTTTTACATTATGTTTCATTATAATAGAATGATTTATATTCCTATGAGTATATACCCAGGAATGAGATTGCTGGGTGAAATGGCAATTCTGGTTCTAGGTCTTTTAGGAATTGCCACACTGTCTTCCACAATGGTTGAACTAATTTACATTCCCACCAACAGTGTAAAAGCATTCCTATCGCGTCTGTTTTTTGCTTCACTATTCACAATAGCACAGACATGGAATCAACCCAAATGCCCATCAATGATAGACTAGAAAAAGAAAATGTGGTACCTATACACCATGGAATACTATGCGGTCATAGAAAGGAACAAGATCATGTCCTTTGCAGGGACATAGATGGAGCTGGAAGCCACTGTCCTTAGCAAACTAACACAGGAACAGAAAACCAAACACCGCATGTTCTCACTTCTAAGTGGAAGCTGAATAATGAGAACACAAGCACACAGGGAGGGGAACAAAACACACTGGGACCTACTGGGGGGTTGGGGGGAAGGAGAGCATCAGGATAAATAGCTAGTGCATGGGGGCCTTAAAACCTAGGTGATAGGTTGATAGGGGTAGCAAACCACCATGACACACGTTTACCTATGTAACAAACCTGCACGTCCTGCACATGTATCCCAGAACTTAAAATTTTTTTAAAAAAAATTACATTTCACCTTTTTTAAAACAGAGTGTTGTCATGCTATATCATGTGGATCCCATCATTATAGGCATTATGTACTCTAATAAGATGGCAAGAGAAAAAATGTTTAAGCTGTTCAGGCTGGAGGTAAAATGGAAGAGTTGAGGCTGGCCTTGGCTGACAGTCAGTTGAGTCTGGACTCTGGCCCTACCTGGCCATGTCTATGGATAAGTTTCTGAACTTCTTTTCTTCAAAATATAACCAGGCTAAGAGCAGCCTGATGGGAGTCCGACTGAGCAGGGTTTGAATCCCAGCTTTGCCATTTAGCATGATGAGATGTGAGTTAAGTTACTTAATTCAAGCCCCACGTCCTCATCTTTAAATGCAGACAACAGTATCTACCTTCAGGTTGTTGTCAGGATTAATATAATTTATGTAAAGTATTTTACCCAACATTTGGCATATATTTGTATACAGTAATTGGCGTATCTTTGGTATAAAATAAATGTTACAAAACATGAGTATTTTCCTTGTTATTGGTGTGGTACCTTGCATTTTCAAGTTGTCTTAGTCCATTCACATTACTATAAAAAAACACCTTAGACAGGATAATTTAGACAACTATAAAACAGAAATTTATTGCTCACAGTTCTGGAGGGTGGGAGTTTAAGACTGAAGTGTCAGCAGATTTGGTGTCTGGCGAGAGCTTGCTCTCTACTTCATAGATGGTGACTTCTGTGCTTCCTTACTTGGTGGAAGGGGCTAGGGAGATTTTGGAGGCCTCTTTTATAAAGGCACCAATCCCATTCATGAGGGCTCTGCCAGTCACATTCTAAAGCCTTCATCTCTTAATACTATTGCATTGGAGATTAAGTTTCAACACATGAATTTTAGAGACACAAACATTTAGACCATAGCACAAGTCGACATGTTTCTCTTTTGTTTAGATTTGCTGAGAGAGAGAAATGGAGAGACAGATTGAGATTCAGTAAAGGGTAAAGTTACTGAAGTTGTAAAAGTATATTCAAGAGCATTATATGGGAAATGTATAGGGCATTGCAGCAAATAAAATATAATATGGATACTGTGAATGATTTCTAAAAATTCAAGTTTACAAAATACATATTTTGAAGACTTGAACTGTTTGAAACATTTAATCCTTGTAGATCATGAGTGGAAGAACAGATTCTCTAAGTAGTGAAGAGAAATAGAGCAGTGGTCCCCAACCTTTTTGGCATCAAGGACTGGTTTTGTGGAAGACAATTTTTTTCACAGACATGGTGGTGGTGGGGATGGTTTCAGAATGATTCAAGCCCATTACATTTATTGTGCACTTTATTTCTATTATTATTACTTTGTAACATATAATGAAATAGTTATACGACTGACCATAATGTAGAATCCCTGGGAGCCCTGAGCTTGTTTTCCTGCAACTAGATGTTCCCACCTGGGGGCAATGGGAGACAGTGACAGATCATCGGTCATTAGATTCTCATAAGGAGCACACAACCTAGATCCCTTGCATGCTTAGTTCACAATAGGGTTCATGCTCCTATGAGAATCTAATGCTGCTGCTGATCTGACAGGAGGAGGAGCTCAGGGGGTAACACGAGCCATGAGGAGCAGCTGTAAATACAGATGAAGCTTCGCTCACTCAGCCGCCACTCACCTCCTGCTGTGGAGCCCAGTTCCTAACAGCTATGGACTAGTATGGGTTTGGAGAGCCCTGAAATAGAGGATATCCAGCAAGCCTTTTAAAAGAGTGAATTATTCCATTCCAACCTCTGGAATATAAAAGATAAATAGTCTCTCAGGAATTCACACTGTGTGGCCTTTTGCATTAAAGCAATCACCTAAGTTATCTGGAGCTTCATGTACATGGGTCAGATGTTGCTGGCATTGTCCTAACTCTGCATGGCTGCTCTCAAATCAGTCCTTCATCACCTCCATGAGATTCATGCCGTGAGACCCTAATTTCCTTCATTTTTTCAAAGATGTCTATCTTCCAGGAGGACACATCTGCATTTTTAAGGAAAACTCTGGCTACAGGCCATCAGATGATTTTCCCCTTGCCAACACTCTGGGTAACGTTAGCGCATTTGTGCAAAATACATTCAACACCCTGGCCTTACACCTTTTGATCTCCTTATCTTCAATAACATGTATTTCTACTCTAATTTAGGCACCCACATTCATTGCCTCATCAGGAATGATGATATCTTCTGTAGTTATTCACATTGTATTTTTGAATTCCAGTGGCCCTCTCACCTTTGACTTCAATACCTGATTCTTTTAGTTCTTTAAAATTTTTATTTTCTCTTCACACATTATTTGATCTCCTGCAGAACACTATTTTCTTCCACCTTTGCCTCAGTTATTTACCAAATATCTCTCCTTCTTTTTTTATTTTTTTCTTTTGAGATAGAGTCTTGTTCTGTTCCCTAGGCTGGAATGCAGTGGTGCAATCTTGGCTCACTGCAACCTCTGCCTCCCAGGTTCAAGCAATTATCCCGCCTCAGCCTCCCGAGTAGCTGGGATTACAGGCACCTGCCAACACGCCCAGCTAAGTTGTGTATTTTTAGTAGAGACGGGGTTTCACCATGTTGGCCAGGCTGGTCTCGAACTCCTGACCTCAGGTGATCCAACCACCTCGGCCTTCTAAAGTGCTGGTATTACAGGTGTGAGCCACTGCACCCCGCCAACCAAATATCTCTTAAGCACCTCAAGTGCTTTACAACATGGAATGCCAGAATACACCAATTCCAAGCCAAATCTACACAGGAGTGAAAAATTCTGTTTAGATAAATGCAACTATTCAAACACATGCTTTCAAATAACACTTCCTCCTTAGTGCTGAGGGCCATCTTGATACTTTGTTAAAATGATTCAATCAAGAGACAGAATAGAGAGATTGAGGGAGAGTGTGATGCTTTCTTTAATGCCCTGATCCTGAGTTAGATGTATCAGCAGTGTGTCCTGGAGCTTTTTCTAAACCTCCTGTTTCCACATCTACCACCTTCTATCACACTGGATTCTTTACATAGTTTCCACCACGACACTGTAAATGTTAAGGATGTCAAATCAAGATTGAATCTTGGTTTTTCCATTGCCTTTATATTATAGCAAAGTACCTGGTACATAGTTTATAGTTAATAACTATCATCTAAGTGGATTAGTTACCCTACATTATCTTCCCAAATAAATGCCAATTTCAAATAAATACCAAATTTTGCCAACTCTCTATTCAAACCCACATCTTTCATTTTCAGGAAAAGACATATTCTCTTTAATGAAAATAAGGACATAAAGTATCACCTACCATTATGTAGCCAGTCCCACCCTCCTATAAACTTACCTATAATTGGGTGATGAGTGATCCTTCCTCTTAATTAATGTAATTTTTCACTTGTAGAATTGATCTAGCTCATGCCTTCCATTATATCTTGTATCTTTCCCCATTTGTTATTGTGTCTCATATCTCTGCCTTCAGCCCTTCCCACTTCTCTATCTCTTATTTTGCCTGTAAACATGATTGAGGCAAAATGATTGAGGTAGAATGACATAACCAAAAAGAGGGTAATTTCAGAATTTCATTCCAATGTGAGAGAGCTCCAGTGGGCCCTTTTATCTTCTAAAATCACCCTCTTTTTTGTTATGCTATTCTCTAGCTTCCAACTACATTTTTTTTTAAAGAGGTGGGGTCTCGCTACATTGACCAGGCTGGTCTTGAAATCCTGACCTCAAGTGATCCTCCCATCTTAGCCTCCCCAAGTGCTGGGATTACAGGCGTGATCCATCACAGCCAGGCCCCAACTACTATCTTGCTGACCCTTTTCTAATTCTCTTCTTTTGAAAGGAGTTTTCAATTTGCTACTTTACTTCCTAATATCCCATTCATGCATCAACCCAATGTAGAGTAGCTTCTATTCTAATTACTCTACCAAAGCTGTTCTTCCATACCGTTCACTCCTTTCACTCAAAGTACCCCATATTTTTGAAGAATGGTATCATTCATGATACAATGTTCTCTAGTAAGCAGATTTGGACATGGAGATATATACTAGGGAGTGCCCTTGGATTACTACCTGTGAAAAGGAGAAGAAGGAAGCTGGATTGAGGGAAAGGGAAAAAGCTGGGCTGAAAAGAAGTCCTGGACCACAGCTTTGGCTCATCTCACAGGGGACTTTGAAGATAAAATGGCCCACTGGCATCCTTTCACATTGCAATGACATGACTGAGTCTTTATAGGCCCCAAGTCCCCTCCCCACCTCTTTCACCTGCCTCCTTGCCTCACCTCAATCAGTCGTTGCATATGCGCCACAACTGGGAACCTCAGGACCTTAGGCAGGGGGAAGCTCTGCAGCTGAGGTGACGTCTGAAGGGGCTCACAGCTGAGTCCTGTCTACTGACACAGCTCTCAGGGAGGACCTAGGTGATGCATCTCTGTGTGTATCATATATATGAGTAATGATATTAGAGGTTTTATAATTTAACCTTTTTTCTCCTTTTTATCTTTAATCTTCACTGTATTTCAGTCATGGTCTTCAGGTTTCAAAGTGACCTTTAAGATTCAGCAAAGAATATACAGCTTTTTAAACATGGGGAATAAAACAAGAACAATGTGATAGCATAGTGTAATGGTGCCATAGAAATAAACAATAAAAAAGAATTTAAAGAGAGAACCAGGAGTCAATTTCATAAATGCCACCATTACATTACTTAGGTTAAGCTTTTGAATTTATCTAGAGAAATGTCATTGGCCAAAACATTAACATTTATAGAGGAATGCAAAAGTGCAAAATTAAAGTTCCTAAGAATCAAGTCCAGAAAAATAGAAAATGTGTAAAGGCTATTGTTCTCAGTTTGGCAAATAAAATTAAAAAAATAAGCAAATCCAGAACTGGCTAATTTCAAATAACGTTTCTAGTATTTCCCACATATTTTTTTTACATATTTTAAAATCACTAATACAGCATTACATTTTTAAAAGGCATATTTCAATACCTTACCTTGAAATCATAAGATGCATTTGTTCAATGAAATCTTACAGTAAAGCAGCATAAAAAATATAAATTGTACAGTGTGATATAAATGCAAACTATTTGATGTTCAATTTAATCATTTTTTTCAGGAACCTAAATGTTAGTTATTTATTATTACTTTAACGACTTAATATTAATTACAATGAAAAGAATATTGCCTTTGAGATCTTCCATTAATGATTCAGTTCCCAGGCCCTGATTTCTTTATAAACTTCTAAATTCTTAAGAGAGAAATGTACTTGGCTCAAATTTAATCATGTTAGAATACAGGTTCTGTATCAACTTAGTTTTTGTAGACACTATATGATATAAGAAGACAATGTTTAATTTTATGTCAATTTCTTGCATAAACTTGTTCAATTAATTCATTCAATAAATAGTCATTGAGTTCATATCATGTCCCAGGTAGTTTTTTTTTTTTTTTTTTTTGAGATGGAGTCTCACTCTGTCGCCCTGGCTGGAGTGCAGTGGCACGATGTCCGCTCACTGCAAGCTCCGCCTCCCGGGTTCACGCCTTTCTCCGGCCTCAGCCTCCAGAGTAGCTGGGACTACAGGCGCCCGCCACAACGCCCGGCTAATTTTTTTGTTATTTTTAGTAGAGACGGAGTTTCACCGTATTAGCCAGGATGTTTTCGATCTCCTGACCTCATGATCCTCCCTCCTCGGCCTTCCAAAGTGCTAGGATTACGGCGTAAGCCACTGCACCCAGCCATCCCAGGTACTATTAAAAGCACTGTTATTATATGGTGAAAAAGACGGACGGGGTCCCAGTACATACTTTATATGGAACATACTGATGTCTTTTCTAAAACCTCTAGTCTCTGATTTGCCTATATAAAGAGTGACAAGTTTTATTTTTACTTTCTGCAAAAATTCAGTTTCTTGTTGTTTTATCATCATACATACAACTTTTATTCAAATATTCATCTAAGGGCCAGGTGCGGTGATCTCTACTAAAAATACAAAAAATTTTAGCCGGGCGTAGTGGCGGGCGCCAGTAGTCCCAGCTACCCGGGAGGCTGAGGCAGGAGAATGGCGTGAACCCGGGAGGCAGAGCTTGCAGTGAGCGGACATCGTACCACTGCACTCCAGCCTGGGCGAGAAAGCGAGACTCTGTCTCAAAACAAAACAAAACAAAAATTAAAAAGAAAACTCGATATTAGGGATTTCACAGTGCTGTAGACTGAATGATAGTGCCCCCCAAAATTCAGCTGTTGAAATGTAACACCCATATGATGATATTTGCAGGTGGGACCTTAGAGGGAGGGGATTAGATCATGACGGTAGAGCCCTCATGAATGGGATTAGTGCACTTATAAAAGAGTCCCCGGAGAGACTCTTGCCCCTTTCACCAAGTGAGGATGCAGGGAAGAGATGGCAATTCATGAATCAAGAAGCAGGTCCTCACCAACTCTTACGGCACTTTGATCTAGGACTTCCTGCCCTCTAGAACTGTGAACAACAAATTTCTATTGCCTATAATCCACCAATTTATGGTATTTTGTTATAGCTGTTTAAATAGATTAAGACACCTAGGATGGGAAACCCATTAATACTGTAATAGAGAGATGAGCTTTCTCTTCCTCTAACTACTTTTAAAGTCTAAGATAATTAGGAAATGATGTTTTGTGTAGCTATATTTTGATTTAAAATTATCTGCCTCAATTAGTGATGAACTAACTTGATTTTGTGCCTGAGTTTTAATAACTGTGATATTTTGAATCAATGTGAGTTATTTGATCAGTTCAAAATATCCAAAAGAAATTTGTCTGGTTAAGATCATGTGCATCTCCATGATGGGATTAGTGTTCTTATAGGAAGAGAAAGTGAGACCATAGCTCTCTGTCTTTCTCTATTTTGTGCCATGTGAAGACATTGTCAGAAGGCAGGAGCCTGTAGTCTAGGAAGGGGGCTTTCACCAGGGACTGAATCTGCCCGAACCTTGTGGAGGATTTCCCAGCCTCCAAAACTGTGAGAAACAAATGTGTGTTGAAGACACCAGTCTCTGGTATTCTGTTATGGCAGCTTGAGCGGCCTAAGATACAATGATAATATAAAAATATTAACAAGATTAGCCTGGGCACCATAAGAAGACCCCAGCTTTAAAAGTAATACAAATAATAATAATAACAACAAACTAAAACATTTTGAAATTTTAAGTGATAATTTTTCATTAGATACAGAATCACCTACTTAGAAAAATACAGATCCCAGGGCAGGGCGCAGTGGCTCAGCCTGTAATCCCAGCACTCTGGGAGGCCGAGGCGGGCGGAACACGAGGTCAGGAGATCAAGACCATCCTGGCTAACACGGTGAAACCCCGTGTCTACTAAAAATACGAAAAATCAGCAGGGCGTGGTGGCGGGCGCCTGTAGTCCCAGCTACCCGGCAGGCTGAGGCAGGAGAATGGCATGAACCTGAGAGGCGAAGCGTGCAGTTGAGCTGACATCGTGCCACTGCACTCCAGCCTGGGCGACAGAGCGAGACTCCGTCTCAAAAAAAAAGAAAAAGAAAGAAAGAAAGATACAGATCCCAAACTCTATTATACTTAATATTTCTTCTAAAATGTTCATCATTTTGAGGATTAAGATTTCTTAATGCATCTGTACAAACACACATGCATATATTCACACAAATAACTATAGTCATTTTATCAACGTTTTGTTTTGACTTATTTATTTAAAAATATTAAATGTATTTTATAAATGAAGAATGCGTGTATTTATTTATTTATTTATTTATTTTTATTTTTATTTTGAGACGGAGTCTTGCTCTTTCGCCCAGGATGGAGTGCAGTGGCGTGATCTCCGCTCACTGCAGGCTCCGCTTCCGGGGTTCATGCCATTATCTGGCCTCCAAAAGTGCTGGGATTACAGGCGTGAGCCACTGCTCTGGGCCTCATTCAAGTATATTTATATAGGAATGTCTGAAATACTGCCACCTAATGTTTAGCAATTATTTTCATTTCTGAGCAGTAGAATTTGAGTGATTTTTATTACTTTTGATTCTGCAATGTGATGTATTCTTTTTTTCATAATGTCTTTCGTATTTATTAAAAGGTTAATTAAATCATCCTAAGAATATTTTATGCATATTTTTGTTAAAATAGGATGTTTAACAGTCAAAATTCTCCATTTACTAAATCTTTCTCAGTCAATGCTTCAGACTTACCTTTTCTACATTTACTAATAAAAAATTTAATTTCAATGTTATATAATAGAAGAACACAGAGTATCTATTTTAAATTTTACCTCCACAAACATCTTTAACCAGAAAATGAAATAAGCACTTAAAATATCAAATAAAATACTAGTTTTCAGGTCTGTTGCTTTGAAAATATGCTTCCTCGTTGAGCAATATCTGAATTTTTATTACTATACCAGGGTATAGATGAAATATCTAACTAGTATACTTTTAAATTAAAACTGCAAAAAATATATAGAGAATTCAGTAGTGCTTATTCAGCATGTAAAACATTTTGCCTATTACATTCTTCATGTTGATGGTAGCTATGGCTAAAGTTTGTAGATACTTGGTTTCGTTAGCTTTTAGAGTTGCTTAGGTTAAATATGCTATAATATACCAGTCCCTGCTGGCTTTGAACTACTTCGAATTCTTAGAAGTGAAGTAACATAGTACAAACCTATAGAAAATATGATAAATGTACCACGAATGACACAAAATATTTTCTGCAGGTCACATAAGGAGTCATTCTCTATTTTGTCAATTTCCTTAGTTAATTCAAAAGCTCCCGGCCAGGCGCAGTGGCTCAGACGGGTGCACACCTGCAATCCCAGCACTTTGGAAGGCCAAGGCAGGTGAATCACAGGGTCAGGAGGTCGAGACCATCCTGCCCATCCTGGCTAACACAGTGAAACCCCGTCTCTACTAAAAATACAAAAAATTTGCCAGGCGTGGTGGTGCCCGCCTGTAGTCCCAGCTACTTGGGAGGCTGAGGCAGGAGGATGGTGTGAACCCAGAAGGTGGAGTTTGCAGTGAGCCGAGATCCTGACACTGCACTCCAGCCTGGGCTACAGAGCGAGACTCCGTCTCAAAAAAAAAAAAAAAAAGTTCCCAATGCATGAATCAATCAAGAATTTCACCCCCAACAGTGAAAAAAAAATGTGAAAGCAGTCAGGTTTTAGTCACTGTAAATCACAATTTCAATTCCACCCCATCCAAAGAAAGCTATGTATGTCCTTCTCATTCCAAATACATACAGGCCATGAGTTAATAATCTTTCATTCTTCTAAAATACCAACAGATTTGCTTTTTTACTTTCATTTGTAGTTTATAGTACTCACAATTAAATTGACCCAAATGTTTTTGAGGTATGTATCTAAATATATATATATACATGGATCAAAGGTCAATGCTATTGTCTATGCATTAGCCACTCCCATTTATGAGAATTTTCTAAACTTGTTGCTTTATATCTCTTAAATGGTGTCAGTTGGCCACATTTATTTCCTGAGAAACAACTGAGCAGCTGACAATGAAAATGAAGCTCTCTGCATTCCTCTTAGGCATACTGCATACATCTTAGGCTCTCTGCATTCCTCTTAGGCATACTGCATACATCTTAGGCTCTCTGGATGCCTCTTAGGCACTTAACGCTTACATGTATTTGTATCTCATTACATAGTGATACAGTCCTAAAATAAAGTAAATAATGAGTTATTTTCTAGACTAATTTGATGAGGCTTTTATTTGATAACAAATTAAAATTATGCCACCAGATGCCTATACTTTGACTTATAAAATGTGTTGTGTTCTGCATGGGCAAACAGAAAGTGCAGAAATTGAACGGCTGCCTGGTAAAATTACCTAAATCCACAATGCCACTGGACAACATTGAACTAGATATTTAAATAAGTGAAAGTAATCAAGTAGTTGAGTTCACTGATAAAATTATACTTGGAATCTTACATCATTCCCAGATTAATATATACAATGTATATCAAATGTCATTGCTATGGGAATGGAAACTGTTACACATGAGGCTAAATTTTTATAAAGAATTTTTTTTTCCTCTAGAACTGACCTTGAGAAACTTGATATCCTCTGTTTATGGCAAGTCTTAAGAAAATGTCAACCCAATGTCAAAGGATAATTAATTTTTTTAAAGAAAAGAAAATTAATGGTTCTCATACAAATGTAAAATGAATATATGTTCATGATTTTATTTAACTGATTAATAAATAAGAGTACCACAGGATGTTCTGACTGGTTCAAAGGAGAATACAAAGAGCAGAGAATATACAGGCAGACATTCATGCTGAAATGAATTTGCTTAATAAAGGCAAAATTAGCCAATATCTATAGGGTGACAGTCAAATATATCTACACTGGATAATTTGTATTTTCATGGACAGGAATTATTTGCAATTTACACAGTTGTGAAATAGGTAAAACAAACAAAAAGTGAAAGGTTCAGAAACCCCATACAATCAGTTAAACTAACATTTAGTTTTCCACTGAAAATAGTAATTTTTTGAGACCATTTCAAAGTTTTTCTTAATTTTTCTCTGCTCTAAAAAAGTCTATAAATTATTTCCAATGAACATTAGAGCTTTTTCTTTGTTGAATTAGTATTTTAAAAAATTTATGGAAGGAGACAGAGCATAAAAGCAGTCGCCAAGTTTATCAATTAAGTCGGTACGATTACAAATCCCAATTGAGAAATATTTTTAAGTATATTTTTCTTTCCAAGACAAATAGACATTAAACAGTCCTAATGTTAATATCCTTTATGTTACATATATATGTATAGATGTATAAGTATATGTATATCCTCATGTATATAAAAAGTTACAAACACATAGTTATTTCAGAGAATTATTTATGCAAATGTGTTGGGTTTTCTTTTTGTGAAGCTATGTTATCAAGAAGTTATTCTTAGTTTTACAGAAAATAAAACAGCTCTAGCTCTTTGTATCATAAGATAAATATCTGTTTATAAATATCAGTATTTTCTAATACTTCTAATGTACTCTTTTGGAGGTAATGGTATATGAAACCCTATAAGAGCAATTCTACTTCATTAATTAATTCGGAAGAAACACAAGTTTTTAAGGCCCAGTGTATACCAACAATTGACAAAGTCATTAAGGTAGACAAAGATGGGCAGAGCCTGGGCTTTGGCTATGAATGTTAGAAAATGAATCACTGAAAGTAAAACATGTTTAAAAGATTAAAATAACAGAAAATGGTTTGAAATTAAATTCAGTTATTGGCCATCAATTGGTCAGAAAGAGTAATTAAGAATTAGTCAAAGCTTTTTTCTCTTCATTTAGGTCAAATATGTCATAAAAATAGTCAATTTTAGCTTATTATAAGTCGATTATGTCAAAATGGTTGAACGACATGTCATTGAAATTAATCTTTAGCTTGTAATGCTATCATTTCAGTTTTAATTAATATTGGGGCCAAAATGTTCATTAGATACTGTTTTTAATGATCAGTTTTTATGCAAATGATTTATATAAGTCAGAACTTCAATTCAATGTTTGGTAGCTGTTTGATTTTTAGGACATTATATATTGAAATGTACACTGATTATCCTAAAGTTGTAAATATTTAAGAAACTTTTCAGCAAAAAGTCTAAAATAAAGATATATTTATATTATTTCCAAAACAGAAAATTTAAATTGATTCCCTAGTCAAAGAAACTGTTTGTAAATAAAATGTAACAAGCTATATATTGCTTGGCCCCCAGACATTTTAAAGTCACTTTTCCTTTTTATATACATGTTCTAATATTATAAACAGTGAGCTCAGAAATATCCTAGTTTGTCTTTTGTGTATTTTCAGCAGATTGTGCTGTTTCAAATTCTATTATTTTACTCCAATTCTTTTGTTCACATATTGCTGTTTTGCTAGCGTTTTTCATATTTTAAAATACATTACTATATTGTATATAGTAATATTGTGTTTCTATTTCTCTTTCTTCATGTTTTATTTTGTTCCATAACCTTTGGCTTGTCCTTTTTATTCCATATTCCCATTTGTAGGTGTAGTTTTCAAAGGTGCTTTTCTTATTTACACAAACATAAGACTTTTGTGCCGGGCGTGGTGGCTCACGCCTGTAATCCCAGCACTGTGGGAGGCCGAGACGGGCGGATCACGAGATCAGGAGATTGAGACCATCCTAGCTAACACGGTGAAACCCCGTCTCTACTAAAAATACAAAAAAAAAAAAATTAGCCAGGCGTGGTGGCAGGGGCCTGTAGTCCCAGCTACTAGGGAGGCTGATGCAGGAGAATGGCGTGAACCCGGGAGGCGGAGCTTGCAGTGAGCCGAGATCGCGCCATTGCACTCCAACCTGGGCGACAAAGCGAGACTCCGTCTCAAAAAAAACAAAAAAAACAAAAAACTTTTGAACCAGAATATTCTGAATGAGATCAAAGTCAAAGCTCAAACATTTCTTAAAAATGAGGTTTTTCTGAGTTGGGAACCAGAGTCATCTTCTATTGCCTGATGCAATAGGCATTGAGAATAGAACTTGTGACAACTCTCTATGCATTAACAATAGAAAAAATGGGATAAGATAGAGGCAAGGAACATACATTCAGGGAGCAAGAAGAAACACTGAGGAACTAATAGAAATTGTGCTTATCAAAATAAACTTACCAAGGTATGGTACCAATTCTCCTTTTTTTGTTCAGTCCATAATAGAGTTCTTAACGCTTTCAATTTTTTTCTTATTAATAATTTTCCTAAATATATTTTATTTGTTTGTTTGTTTGTTTTTTACATGGTGTCTCGCTTCATCACCGAGGCTGGAGTGCAGTGGCGCGATCTCGGCTTACTGCACCCTCCGCCTTGTGGGTTCAAGCAATTCTCCTGTCTCACCCACCTGAGTAGCTGGGACTACAGGTGCCCGCCACCACACCTGGCTCATTTTCGTATTTTTAGTAGAGACAGTATTTCACCTTGTTGGTCAGGCTGGTCTGAACTCCTGACCTCAGGTGATCCACCCGCTTCGGCCTCCTAAAGTGATGGTATTACTTCTGTGAGCTACTGCGCCTGGCCCTAAATCTATTATTTAAAAATCCACCTGTACAATTGGTATTCACAGAAATCTCCCATATATGTTATTATTTTATTCTCATAACTCTCTATGCCAAGTATAGATACATTATTGATGTGGAAAATTAGATCACAGAGATAAAGTGACTTTCCCAAGGTCAGTGCAGAAAGGGAAAAGTGAAAATTTGAAATCGTACCTGAAGAGTAAGAGCAAAGGGGTTAAGGAGTTATTCATAGATCTTTGTGCCTCAGAGGTCCTTACTGAGAGTTTTAATCCAAATGGTTTGGTAAATTTGGGGCGACAGGTATAACATGGCTTATGTGATGCTTAGAGTGTTTTGGAACCATCAAGATCTTTGCAATGGCATCACAGATAACAACCCCATCATCTTGTAAAACATGGACATGTTGGGAAACAATGTTTTAGTTCAGTCATTGAACTGACCCAAACTTCTGTGTTCATATTGTTATAGACCTCATAATTGTTAAGGTATAAAGAAGCATCAGAAGTTTTGTTTTTGTTTTTAATTACAAAGGAGTTAGGATATTCCTAACATCCAAAGTGAATTAAAATAATTCACTTTGATGTGAGAAAGAGCTTCTTGTCTTAGGGACACTGGTGAGGTGAATTCACAACTATGGGTTGTTTTAATTGAATTACATCCTCAGAGCTTTAGTTTTGAGCTCTGAATCTACAATCTGCATTTTGCAAGTAATCAATGGTATTTATTTAAGTGCTCTTGGTAAAGATGATGTGAATAGAGAAATCTGCTTATTTCTAGCATAAAATTGCTTATTAAGCAAAATAATAGAGCACTGCAAATTAACTAGTAAAAAATTGAAATCTTTAACTTTCACACCTTCATTTGATATTTACTGAATACTTTGGGGACTAGATTATATGTAATTTAGTTCAACTTTTGTTTAAAATAGGAAAATGAACTTTGAAAATAAGTACTTTTAAAAATATTTTAGAATGCAAGATAGTTTTCATGGAAACTTTCATGGAATCATATTCTTTATATTTTAGAATCAAGGTATGTTCCTACTTGGTACTTGATCAAGGAAATACCTAAATCAAGAACCATTCCAAATGGCTGTTTATTAAGTGTGATGGTTTACTAATGTCAACAAAAGTGAAAAAAATTATATTGAAGTATAAACTATAAATAATCTTGTTTAACATATTTATAAATACATTTTTGCCCATATTTGTATTTTGTACCTATTTATATAAAAAAACAAATATTATCTTTTGTACAAATATTTTAAAATCTGGCACTTTTTTAGCACCCCAGAAAAATATTTTTCAGGCTCTTAGCTGATGCTGAGAAAAGTCAGTCAGTCTCACATGTTACCATAGATTAATATTGCCTATCTTTGTCTTCATATAAATGGAAGCATACGGTATTTATTTTTTTCTGGCTTATTTCACTCAAAATTGCATTTGTGAAATCTATTTATGTTATGGACCAGTGTTTCATTCCTTTTTGTTTTGTGTAGCACCCTGTTGAATGAATATGGAGCTTTCCAATCCATTCTATCCTGATGAACATCCAGGTGTCTCTGTTGAAACTGCTGGTCATAAATTATGTGTTTAAATTTAGTAGATAATGATAATTATTTTTCCAAAATAGTTGTATCAACTTAATAACTCATTCAAATATGTGAAGTCCTCCTAACAATCTAAAAAGATGGACTTCCAATTTCAAATAATAAATACAAAGATTAAGTACTTGAACAGGCAGTATATGCACATTTTTAAACATAAAAGATTGAGTTAAATTTTGAAAAATGTAGGCCGGGCGTGGTGGCTCACGCCTGTAATCCTGGCACTTTGGGAGGCCCAGACGAGCGGATCACGAGGTCAGGAGATAGAGACCATCCTGGCTAACACTGTGAAACCCCGTCTCTACTAAAAATACAAAAAATTAGCCGGGCGTGGTGGCGGGCACCTGTAATCCCAGCTACTTGGGAGGCTGAGGCAGGAGAATGGCATGAACCCGGGAGGCAGAGCTTGCAGTAAGCCGAGATTGCGCCACTGCACTCCAGCCTAGGCAACAGAGCGAGACTACGTCTCAAAAAAAAAAAAAAGAAAAGAAAAGAAAAAAAAGAAACATGTAACTAAGAATCTCATTTGAGCTACATGTGTGAAAATATTTCTTTTACATTATCATATAACACAGATTTTGGATATGACGAGTGCTGAACTGAGGCTTTTCACTTGATATGCATTACAAATTAGAATTTTTCACTCACAAAACATGCTTATGACAGTTTTATATATGAATAGAATTGTAAAAATTGCCTTAAGAGTTATTGAATAAAATGTTTAAAGTACCTCATAGGATGAGGAAAAAATGGAAGAGTTAACAAGGATACAGAGCATAAAAGAGAAGAATAAGAGTTCAAATAAAATCGAATGAAAAGACACCATCTTGTGTAACTCTGTAGTTAATTGTGCATGTGTGCTATTTTTCATGACTTGGAGCACGTTATTTTTGGCCAAGAGTTTCCATTCTATCTATGGATATGCCAGAAATTTCCTATTTTAGATCTTCTAGTCTCCAACTCTCAAGATAAAAAACAAAAATCATTAAAACCTCTGACTCTGATATTGAATGCCTGCATAAAAATCTCCTCCCATCACCTTGCAACAGATGACTTGCTCATACACCTTTTTGACTACCACTCCCCATCAAGGGTTCTCTCCTTCGAGACTACAGTAATTCTCTTTGTATTTCATATTATGTGCAAACTTTACTTTCAAAGAGTTGTTACCTATATTAATGTACTTACATCATTCACCGAATATATTTTCTCTATCAGCAAAATTGGTTTAGATATCTTGGATTAGGATAGAACACGTCACAACTTCTCCCCCCTTTATGATCAGTTTTTTTTTTTTTTTAGTCGGACCGTTTTTCAGTTGGTGACTGTCAGAAATGAATTAAAGTTTTAAGAGAAGAATAGGTAAGGGTAAAGAGAAGGGTGTCCTTATGTATCAACTTTGCTTATTTAGTTTTTTCAAGTTCAACAAGACCCTCCTCTCCCTTCAAGGAAGATGATTCCTAGGCACGTTTGTTACTTCTATCAAAACAGCTGAGTTTTTTTTTTTTTTTTCATTCATGTTGTTAAAATACCAATAGTGGAGCGAAAAATGCTTCACCTGGGACTGTCCCCTGACAGGCAGTGCGACGAGGTCAGGCCCGCGCCCGCCGAGTCCTAGGGCCGCTGCCGCCGACGGCCATGGAGGACGAGCAGCTCGACAGCCTGGAGGGCTGGGCGCCGGTCCGGCAAGGCCTCTTCGCCGATGCCGAGAGGCACCGGCTGCGCTTCCTGGTGGCGTGGAATGGCGCGGAGGGCAAGTTAGCTGTGACTTGTCACGACCTCACCGCGCAGCAGCCGCAGCGGCGCGAGGGGGCCCGGCTGGGGCTGGAGCCCAAACCCAAGGCCGCTGTGTCCCCGCCCAGCTGCCGTGTCCCCGCCCAGCTGCCGTGTTCCCGCCCAACTGGGCCGGCCGGTTCTCGGCCGCAGGGTTCCGCGGCGCGCGCTGGCAGCTAGCGGCGCTGTGGCCGCCTCTGGAACGCTGCTCCCCGCAGCTGGACGTGGGCGGCGGCGGGGCCTGGAGTCTGGGGCTCGGGCTGTGGGCGCTGCTCTGGCAGGCGCGCGCGGGCCCCGGCGAGGTGGCGCTGCAGGAGCTTTGCGGGCAGCTGGAGCGCTACCTGGGCGCGGCGGCCCACGGCTGCGGCGGCGCCACCGTGCGCCTCGCTGTTTTCGCGGCTAAAGGCCGCGCGGCTGACTGCGAGAGCCCGCGCGAGTTTCGAGAGCGGGCCCTGCGCGCCTGATGGGTCGAGGCGGACGCGCGGCTGCGTCAGGTAAGCGAGGCCGGGCCGCCGGCGTTTGACCGCGCTTGGGTGGCCTGGGACCCTGTGGGAGGCTTCCCCGGCGCCGAGAGCCCTGGCTGACGGCTGATGGGGAGGAGCCGGCGGGCGGAGAAGGCCACGGGCTCCCCAGTACCCTCACCTGCGCGGGATCGCTGCGGGAAACCAGGGGGAGCTTCGGCAGGGCCTGCAGAGAGGACAAGCGAAGTTAAGAGCCTAGTGTACTTGCCGCTGGGAGCTGGGCTAGGCCCCCAACCTTTGCCCTGAAGATGCTGGCAGAGCAGGATGTTGTAACGGGAAATGTCAGAAATACTGCAAGCAAACTGAAAACAACCCATCCATGTAGGAAAGAATAACACGGACTACACGTAAGCAATTCCAAGTCTGTGTCTGCGGGGACGTCGCAAGTGGGATAAAATGGTTTAAAGGAAGAAATGGCTTTTAGGAGTTAGGGTGTTTTGTTTTAAGTAATACAGACTTGGTCAAATGGAAAGCCGGTAGAAAGTGAGCTTTATTCATCAGTTTAACCGCATTAGTGCTCTTTTAAGCTTGAAAGAGGTAGTTTGAGAGAGTAATTGAGTGGTAAACTTACTGAACTTAGGGGACGGGGAAGTACATGTTCATAGAAGGGTTTAGGAGAAAGTATGCCTTCTAAATCCACACCCACGGTTTACTAAGCAGAGCCAGGCTGGAGTCTCGGCTCACTGCTCTTATTAACCTGAATGATTTTTTTCTGTGCATTCTTTTGAGGAAGGGGAGGTGAAAAGAAGAATTCAGCCTAAGCTAAATATAGAATAAGCTTTCTAAATTAAAATGGTTTTATAAAAGGAGCTTGTTAGTGGGGTCATTTTTGTACTGTGAGCTTTATGTGTAAATGTCTACACACCCACTTAACATGTGTTGATTTCACTTTAGACTATGAGGAAACCACAGGGGAGTTTCAGGCCAGTCAGCTTTTGATCTTCAACTTTATAACTTTCACCTTAGGATATGACGAGCCCACCGGAGTTTCAAAAATGGTATCATTTTGTATCAGACTTGTTTTTTACACTCTTGGTTTCTCACAGAGATAGGTGGTTTCTCCTTAAAATCGAACATTTATATGATGCATTTTACTGTAGTTACTATCAGAAAAGTTAGTTTTCCCAAATTTAAGTTCACTCTGGGGTACTATAGCGTGAATGTAGTTCATTCTGTTGAGCTAGTTGTTCATGTTAGTGTAGTTCACATATTTATCTGGAACTCAAAAATGAGGGGTTGAGAGGGGAAGCTAAAATTCAAAACATGTCCAAATATATAATTTTAATATTTTACTTTATATTTAAAATAGAAAAGCAATTGATTCTAGAATTAGACTAATTGCTAGCATTGCTAGCATATATAAAATGAAGCTGAATGTTTTAACTCTGGAATTTTTCTGAATAGTCTAAGAAATAAGGCTGAAGTGTATCACTTGCCTTAAGTTTACTTTTGCGTGTGTGTTTTAATTTTGTTCAGTGGGGCTTTCACTTAAAAAAAAAACCATAATATTATTACCTGGATAAAAAATACAGCTGAAAGTAGATCACTTTATCTTTAAGCAGAAGGATGGAAATAGAAGAATTTTAAGAATGTATTGGTTGAAAAACATCTATATTATTTTATTTTTATTTCTCTTCTTGTGGGAGTAAAATAATTTCCAACCAAATCAGTCCACCTAGATTATACACTGTTCAGTTTGTTTTCTGCCCTGCAGCACAAGCAATAACCAGCAGAGACTGGAACCACAGCTGAGGCTCTGTAAATGAGTTGACTGCTAAGGACTTCATGGGGATATTAACCTGGGGCATTAAGAGAATCAACATGCTAAAGTACTTGGAGACAGCTCTGTAATGTTTTATGAGGTTTTTTGTTTTTTTTTTTTGAGACAGAGTCTTGCACTGTCGCCCAGGCTGGAGTGCAGTGGCGCCATCTCGGCTCACTGCAAGCTCTGCCCCTCAGGTTCACCCCATTTTCCTGCCTCAGCCTCCCCAGTAGCTGGGACTGCAGGTGCCCTCCACCACGCCCAGCAAATTTTTTGTATTGTTAGTATACACAGGGTTTCACCGTGTTAGCCAGGATGGTCTCAATCTCCTGACCTCGTGATCTGCCTGCCGTGGCCTCCCAAAGTGCTGGGGTTACAGGTGTGAGCCACCATGCCTGGCCCTTAGGAGCTTTTAAAAAGGAATACAGCCTCACAAAACCTTCACAGTCAGAAAAGTCAAATGAAAAAATATCCACACCTCAAACCTTCTTTTGGGTCCTTTTCGCTGCATACTTAGTGCATAGTTGAGATTAAATTTTGTACTCTGCCTCTCCATTTAATTATAAAAGTCTCCTTTTTTTTTTTTTTGAAACAGAGTTTCGTTCTTGTTGCCCAGGCTGGAATGCAATGGCACTGTCTCGGCTCACCGCAACCTCCGCCTCCCGGGTTCAAGCTATTCTCCTGCCTCAGCCTCCCCAGTAGCTGGGATTACAGGCATGCGCCACCACGCCCAACAAATTTTGTATTTTTAGTACAGACAGGGTTTCTCCATGTTGGTCAGGCTGGTGTCGAAGTCCTGACCTCAAGTGATCCACCCGCCTCGGCCTCCCAAAGTGCTGGAATTACAGGCGTGAGCCACGGTGCCTGGCCAAAAGTCTCCATATTATTAAACAATCTTCAGAAGCACAGTGCTGAATGACTACAGTAATAATATTCTGCCATGGATATATCATAATTTACTTAACAATTCTTGTTTTATTGGGCATTTTTGATGGAGGATGATGACATTTTCATATTTAATCAATATTTTAAATTGATGTATTGAAAGTTGAGAACATGAAGGTTTCTTTTGTTTAGTTTTGTTTGTTGGGTATGTATTACACTGTCTGACTTGAGCTTTATTCACATTTGCTCTCTAGGTTATCCAAGGACATGGAAAAGCCAACACCATGGTAGCATTAATGAAAGTTTACCAAGAGGAAGATGAAGCCTACCAGGAATTAGTTACCATGGCAACCATGTTTTTCCAGTACTTACTGCAGCCATTTAGGGCTATGCGAGAAGTTGCAACTTTATGTAAGCTTGATATTTTGGTATTTTTTTTAATTTTTATTTTATCACATTTACTATTTGTCATATATTATTTTTTTATTTACACTTAATGTTCAATCTCTGCACTTTGTTTGGGTTTACTTTTATGTTTCTTTACTTATTTATTGATAGAGATGAGGTTTTGCCATGTTGCTCAAGCTGGTTTCTAACTCCTGAGCTCAAGCAGTCTGCCCACCTCGGCCTCCCAAAGCGTAGCATTACAGGCGTCAGCCACTATGCCTAGTTCACCCTCATGTTTAAATATTGAATTTATATTTAAAATTGATAGAAAATGAAGACATTTATGTTGGTCATCTTACTAGCTTAAGATTCCTGCAGATTTTAAAGAGTTAAGAGTTTTTTTGTATCGATGCCTTTTTTTTTTTTTTTTTTTTTTTTTTGAGATAGGGTCTCTCTTTGTCAGCCAGGCTAGAGTGCAGTGGCACAATCTTGACTCACTGCAACCTCCTCCAGGTTCAAGTGACTCTTCTGCCTCAGCCTCCTGAGTAGCTGGGATTACAGGTGTGCACTACCATGCCCAGCTAACTTTTTTTGTATTTTTAGTAGAGACGGGGTTTCACCATGTTGGCCAGGCTGGTCTCAAACTCCTGACCTCAAGTGAGCCACGCATCTCAGCCTCCCAAAGTGCTGGGATTACAAGCGTGAGCCACTGCGCCCAGCCTGATGAATTGTTTTTGATGTGATATTTATTTGCTTCAGTTTGTTTTCCTCTAAGGACTCATCCAAATTTCTTAAAATAGGATGAAAATTTAAATAGCAGGACCCTAGATTGTAATTCAGTAACTTAAATTTTAGTAAATGCTGTTATCGCTCTTGTTTCATTGAGCCATCAAACAACCGTGTGACCCCATTCAGAAAAGGCATTCTTATTCCAGTGTTACAAATGAATCTGGAGTCCAGAGTTGTTAAATATCTTACCTTGGGTCTCAACAACGGGAATCAGAAGACACCTAAGAGATCTCTTGATTTCTGCCCCCTGCACTGGGCCATCTTTCCACATATAATCTCATGCCCCCTGCCAGATGATTGTACTATAAAAATAGTATCACATTTAGATGAAACTCATGCCACTCTAACCTGTGGATAAAGTTGTTCTGTTCATTATTTTGAAAGTCTATTATTTGGAGAGTCTACTTCTTGCATATATTTTGCTTTCTTCTTCTGTTTTTTTTTTTTTTTTTGAGATGGAGTTTCGCTCTTGTTGCCCAGGCTGGAGTGCAATGGCGTGATCTCAGCTCACTGCAACCTCCACCTCCTGGATTCAAGCGATTCTCCTGCCTCAGCCTTCCGAGTAGCTGGGATTACAGGCATGTGCCACCATGCCCGGCCTGGCTAATTTTGTATTTTTTTAGTAGAGATGGGGTTTCTTCACGTTGGTCAGGCTGGTCTTGAACTCCTGACCTCAGGTGATCTGCCCACCTCAGGCTCCGAAAGTGCTGGGATTACAGGCATGAGCCACCGCACCCGGTCTATATTTTTCCTTTCTTTAAGTAACAGCTGTTTTAAGATACCATTCACAGATTATATATATATATATGTATATATTTATGAATATATGTATGTATATATATGTGTATATATGTGTGTATATGTGTATATATGTGTATATGTATGTGTATGTGTATGTATATGTATGTGTATATATGTATATATAAAAGATGTACAATTCAGTGATTTTTAGTATATTGAAAGTTGCACAATGGTCATTACTATGTAATTTCAGGACATTTTCACCTCCAAAAGAAACCCTGTACCCATTAGTCACTCCCAACCCTGGGCAACCACCAATCTACTTTCTGTCTCTGTGGATTTCCCTACTCTGGACATAGCAACAGCATTATTGAATATGTGGTCCTTTCACTCAGCACAGTGTTTGCAAGACTAATCCATGTTGTAGCAAATACCAGGATTTCATTTCTTTTTATTGCTCAGTAATATTCATTGTATGGATATATTGCATTTTATTCATCAGTTGATGGACATTTGGGTTGTTTCCACTTTTTGGCTATCATGAATAATTCTGCTATGAATGTTTGTGTGTGAGTTTCTGTGTAGACATATCTTTTCATTGCTCTTGTGTACGTACTGAGTAGTAGGATTGCTGGGTCCTGTGATTACTCAATGTTTAACCTTTTGAAAGACGCCAGATGGTTTTCCAAAGTGGGTGCCTCATTTATATTCCCAAAAGCAGTAAATGAGGGTTCCAATTTGTCCACATTATCACCAACACTTGTAATTGTGTGTCTCTTTGGTTACAGCCATCCTAGTGGGTGTGAAGTGGTATCTCGTTATGGTTTTGATTTGTAATTCCTTGTCGGCTAACTTGTACATATTTCTTATGCTTTGTAGAAGAAAAATTGCATATTGGATGACATAGCTGTACATGTCTTAGTTCAGGCTGTTATAACAAAGTACCGTAGATTAGTGGCTTATAAACAACAAAACTTTTTTTCTCACAGTTCTGGAGGCTGGGTAGTCTAAGATCAAGGTGCTGGCAGATCCAGTGTCTTGTGAGGGCCAGTTTCTTAATTTGTAGATGACTGTCTTGCTGTGTCTTCACATGGTGAAGAGCAGAGAGAGAGATCCTGTGTCTCCTCTTCTTTTTATAAGGGCATTAATCCCATTCTTGAGGGCTGCACCCTCATGACCTAATTACCTCCCAAAGGCCCCATCTTCAAATACCATCACACTGGGGATTTAGGCTTCAACATATGCATTTTGGGGGGACCCAAACATTCAGTCCAATACCAGTGCATGTTATAAGCATGAATATACAGATACTGTCTTTTAGGTGATTATATTACATATCCCTAAAAGAAACGATAACAACAGCTAACACTTAAGTGCTGTGTTCCAGGCCCTATGCTGAGTGCTTGACAACACAGATCACTCATTTAAACAATTGTGTATTATTATTAATAGAGAGAAGCATAAGTTGACAACATTCCTCTCTAGAAAAAGTTATTCTAGGCATGTGAAGTGAAAGTAGGTTTTTTTTTCCCCTTTATGCCCCAGAGTGTCCTTTTGTCTTCCAGGTGGTGCTCAGCTTAGAGCCTTATTCATATGCAGTAAGGGACTGCTGAATGAATGAAAATTTAACTGACTGAGTAGTACTGTAGTTAAATTAATCCATGTGACCAATTTCCTTTCAATTTCCTAATGGGTCAACATAACTATTAGCTCTTAGTAAGATAATTTTCTCTTCTGTCTGTAGAATTCCTTGGATGAGGATGACGTAGGTCCTACGTCTCCAGGATAGTTGCCCTGGAGAAAGAAGCTGAAGAATGGACCAGACGGGCTGAAGAAGCTGTTGTCTCTATTCAAGATATCACAGTGAATTATTTTAATTAGACAGTAAAAGCATTAGCAGGTGATAATCTAAAAAATGCTTTACGCAGATACGTGTAATTGATTGTCATTTTATTCATATACCATTTGAGTCCCTCTTACGCACTAGGCACTGTGTTTTCTGGGTGGCAAGAATTCAGTGTCAAGCATTAAGAGACATTGTACAGTCTGGTGAAGGGAGAGAAATCTTAATTATCTATTCACTGAAGCACATGGAAAATGGCAGTGACAATAAATGGCACAAAGAAGAGAGACATCGGGCTCTGAGGGTCTGTGAGAGAGAAATTGGGCTTGATCAGGGTGGTCGCTGAAGGCCTCTGAGAAGTGGTGCTTGCCCCAGTAGCTGAAGGGTAAACGGAAGTTGAGAGAATAGAAAAAGTGAGGAGTGTTCCGGGCAGAAGGAATAGCACTGGTAAAGGTCCCCTGGCTTGAGGGAAGTTGGCAAATAGGAGCTTACAGAAAACCTGCAGGGCTGGATCACACAGAGTGCAGGACAGTGTGGCACGAGGGAGAATGCTGGCAAGACAGGCAGGGATCAGACCGTGCAGGGGCTTGCGGGCTGGGTGAAGGACTTTTTTTCAGTCTTAAATAATTGTTAATAAAAACACCAAATAGGAAACAACTTAATGTCTGTCAGTTTGTTAAGTTATGGTACATTCATAAAAGAGAAAACTACATAGCTATTAAGCATGATTCTTGATTTTTTTTATAAATGGCAAGAGTGTCTGATATATTGTGCAGAATCAACAAGATATAAAGCAGAATGATAATCCTGGTTTTTTGGTCAAACTATCCATATGAGCCTGTCTGTCTAGCTAGACATAGAAACAATATGGAAGCAAGTGTGCCAAAATATAAGAAGCAGTTGCCTCAACTAGGTGAGATCATGACTTATTATTGTCCTTTTAAAAATTGAATACCTAAAATTGTATATTAATGACCATGTATTATTTTTATAATAATAAAAAAGTTAATAAAACAAAATTTCTTTTAAAAAAGATGTTCTGCAGGTAGTATGGAAGCAATAAAAAAAGAATTAGCTCATGATCAATGTTTCCCTTTTTAATGAGGTGTAATTATATTTTATTTTTATAATCCAACAGGAATGCAAAAAGAAATGGAACAGGATGTGAAGAGATTTGGCCAGGCTGCCTGGGCCACAGCAATTCCCAGGTTGGAAAAACTTAAGCTAATGCTAGCTCAAGAGACTCTGCAACTCATGAGAGCGAAAGAATTGTATTTAAATCGCAAAAGAGCTGAAATTCAGGGAAAGGTAAGACAAAGATAAACGTAACTTTGTTTTAAAACTACACTTTTATTTTATTTTATTTATTTTTTTATTTTTTTTGAGACGGAGTCTCGCTCCTTTGCCCAGGCTGTACCGCAGTGGTGCAGTCTCAGCTCACTGCAAGCTCCACCTCCCGGGTTCATGCCATTCTCCTGCCTCAGCCTCCCGAATAGCTGGGACTACAGGCGCCCACCACCACGCCCAGCTAATTTTTTGTATTTTTAGTAGAGACGGGGATACACTGTGTTAGCCAGGCTGGTCTCGATCTCCTGACCTCGTGATCCGCCCGCCTCGGCCTCCCAAAGTGCTGGGATTACAGGTGTGAGCCACCATGCCTGGCCCCACTTTTATTTTTTAAAAAGTTTGTGTAAATAAGGGATACAAGTACTGTTTTGTTCCATGGATATATTGTGTAGTGGTGAAGTTTGGGCTTTTAGTGTAATCTTCACCTGTATAATGTAATTGTACCCACTAAATATTTCTCATCCTCCCTCCCACCCTCTTACTCTTCTGAGTCTCCAGTGTCTATTATTCCACACTGTGTGTGTATACACACTACTTAGCTCCCACTTATAAGTGAGACCATGTGGTAAAGCACACTTTTATTTTTAGATAGCACTTTTCTTTCCAGGCATCGTTAAAGAGCTTCTTTTCTTCACTTATTCTAACACTATCTTCTATGGGAGGTTAGACATAAAGTTTTCCTTTAGTTAAGATGTTTCAAAATACCATATTATAGGATTTACTTTATAGTAACACCGAGCCCAGTATTGAAGTGGGTACTGTACTTGAATATCAATCCAGCAATGTTTTCAGTACAGCTTTAAAATAATCAAAGAGATACTTCACTGAAGGATCATAGACACTTAAGTTTTTTCCTATAATCTTATGACCTTAAAGCAGAAAACACTGTAACCACCTGTCTTAGTTGGCTAAGGCTGCTATAACAAGATTAAATATCACAGATTGGGTGGCTTCAACAACGGACATGTATTTCTCACAGTTCTGGAGGCTGGGAAGTCCAAGATGCCTGCAGATTCACTGTCCGGTGAGGATCCTCTTCCTGTCTGGTAGACAGCTGCCTTCTTAACTGAGTGCTCATATAGCCTTTCTTCTGTGTGTAAGTTTAGAGAGAAAGAAAGTGATCCCTGTCTTTCTCTTCTAATGGCACTAATCCCATGATGGGGGTGCTATCCTTTTGACATAATCTGAACCTAATTACTTCCAAAGGACCCACCTCCAAATAACATCACATTGGGAGTTAGAGTGTCAACATATGAATTTTGTGGGGACACCAATATGCAATACATAATAATACCTCATTGCCATTTATGTTTCTCAAAACCTAAATGTTTTTCTGTTTCAAGGATGAGATAAAATATTAGCATCACTAGATGAAATGAAAAAGTGTTTCTTTCCTATTTGCTTTTTTATATTTAGTATTGAACAAGGAATAGAAAATAGCTAGAATGCTTCTGAAGTTTGTTTTTAATATACTATTTATTTTAACTTATTTTTCTTTTTTCTATGAAAATAAGATGGAAGATCTTCCAGAACAAGAAAAAAATATAAATGTTGTAGATGAATTAGAAATGCAATTTTATGAAATTCAGTTAGAACTATATGAAGTTAAATTTGAGATATTAAAAAACGAAGAAATACTGCTTACTACACAGTTGGACTCTCTTAAAAGACTTATAAAAGGTAAAGTTTATATTTAAGTATATAGATTACAATGTTTATAAATTTAAGGAAATACAGACCATATTATCAATTACTTTTTGTAAACTGTAACATCTGAAAATTTCCTAAAGTTTTCCTTCAGTAGTTTATTATTCAAATAATATATTCATTGTTAGCACATAGCAAAACAAAGAAAGAAAAATGATTATTACTCCAATCCCATCATCTAGAGATGCTTAGTGTTTGGCTGGGCACAGTGGCTCACGCCTATAATCCCAGCACTTTGGGAGGCTGAGGCGGGCGGATCACTTGAGGTCAGGAGTTCCAGACCAGTCTGACCAACATGGTGAAACCCCATCTCTACTAAAAATACAAAAATACTAAACCCTGTCTCTACTAAAAATACAAAGTCCGATGTGGTGGCACGTGCCTGTAATCCCAGCTACTTGGGAGGCTGAGGCAGGAGAATGGCTTGAACCCGTGAGGTGGAAGTTTCAGTGAGCCAAGATCGTGCCACTGCACTCCAGCCTGGAAGACAGAGCGAGACTCCGTCTAAAAAAGAAAAAAAAAAAAAGAGATACTTAGTGGTAACAATTTGCTGTATAACTTTGTAGATTTTAAAATATGCTGATATATAAAAATATAAATTTTTAACCAAAACTACATAACCAGTTCAGTAACATCTTTTTAAAAATTTTTTAATTTTTATGGGTGCATAGTAGATATATATATTTATGGGTTACATAAGATATTTTGACACAGGCATACAATGCATAATAGTCTCTTTTTCATTTAATACATACTAATTGTCTATTTCAGAAATAATAAAAGTATCAAAATTTTAATGGCTGCATAGTATTCCATTATATGGATATACCGTGATTTCCAAATTTCCGCTGTTTTGAACAGTAGTGTAGTGAACTTTCCTTTACACATGTCTTTTTGAGTATAGGACAGATTATCTCCTTAGAATAAATATCTAAGGATGGAATTATTGGGTCAAGGACAATGTATATTTTACATTTTGCTACGTAATAATACAACAATCATCTGAGATACATTTTTCCTCACCTCCGTATTATTTTCTGATTTCTAAATTTCATACTATGTAGTGGCCCTCTAGATAGGTTGTACATTTAAAATGACGCTCCCAGGCTGGGCGTGGTGGCTCACGCCTGTAATCTCAGCACTTTGGGAGGCTGAGGGGAGCAGATTACTTGAGGTCAGGAGTTCAAGACCAGCTTGGCCAACGTGGTGAAACTCTGTCTCTACTAAAAATACAAAAATTAGCTGGGCGTGGTGGTGGGTGCCTGTAATCCCAGCTACCTGGGAGGCTGAGGCAGGAGAATTGCTTGAACCTGGGAGGTCGAGATTGCAGTGAGCTGAGATGGCGCCACTGCACTCCAGCCTGGGCGACAGAGTAAGACTCTGTCTCAAAAAAAAAAAAAAAAAAAAGACGCTCCCATCAGCAGAATATGAGTGTGTATGTTTCCCAGACTCATGCCATTTTTTTGCATTTTTGCTTGCTTGACAGAGAAAATGGCAGTCTTCCAATTTTCATTTATTTAATTATGAATGAATATTGAACAAAATTTTGTATGTTTACAAGCCATTTGTACTTATTTTATGAAATGCCTAGTCATAGTCTTTGTCCATTTTTCTTTGGAATATTTCCTTTCGACATTAAGAATAATATTCTCTATTGTCTGTCATATGTTGCAAATAATCTCTCCTTGTCATTTGCGTTTTCTTGCCTTTCAGAAATATTTAATTTTTATGAAGTCGTGTTTATTGATTTTTTCCCCTATGGCTTCTGCTTTTAGTATTATGTCTGGCAATAGGCTCCTATCCCAAAATTATGTCAATATATACTTATGTTTTCTTTCAGTATGTTTATGATGTTACTTTTTAAAACATTTAATTCTTTAGTCCAGGTGGAATTTATTTTGAATGTGGTAGGAATTGAACCTTTCCCTCAAATTGTTAAGCAGTCCCAATCACTGATTTTAAAAACATTTTCCCTAAATGTTTAACATTTCTCCAGTTAAGCATTAGATTGACTTTGGTCTGTTTCTGAGTTGTTCTCCTCCATTGGTTCGTGAGTGGCTTCTGCTGCTGGCTCCATACTGTTCCCACGACTGTCTTGGAGGCACATTTTAGGGTCTGGTAAGGCAAGTACCCCCCACATTACTTCACAAGTTTTCTGACTATTTTCACTCCTTTATTCTTCCAGATGAAATTTAGAATCAAGTTCAAAACAAAAAACTCTTTGGAATTTTGATTGTGATTTTGCTTAAAATTAGAGATTACTTTGGGGAGAATAGTGGTCTTTGCAATTTTGAATCTTCCTACCCAAGAACATGGTATGTCTCTCTCCATTTATTTAAATCTTTTTTCCTAAAGTTCCTCCAAGTTTAATAAATTTCTTCACATAGATCCTGAACTTTTAGTTTAATCCTGAGTATTCAGAATTTTTTTCAGTAGTTTCAGGTTATAAGCAGTTTACATATTTAGGAAAAAAATTACATTAAAAAAAGAAGTTAATCTGGAAGGATGCATGCCAAATTGTTCATAATGTTTTTCCTCTGAGAATGACTCAGAAGGTTTGGGGAATGAGCAATAGAATTTCACTGTTTATTTGATGTACTTCTGGAGGGTTTGAATTTGTTACAGTAAGCATGACTTTTAAAAAATCAATATGTAATCAAGATTAAATATCACTAAGGCATCTTAATAATATATTGCTGGTAGAATATAAGTTGCCTTTCTGGAGGGCAGTGTGGCAATGGGTATCAAGATCCTTAAACACTTATCTGCTAAGGAAGTGATAAAAAGTGTACACAAAGATTTATACAGAGATGTTTATCACAGTGAAATGAATAATAATGGAACATTGGAACAGCCTAACAACGTGGATTGCTTAAATTAGAGAATACTATGCTGCCATTAAAATTTATCTTTTTAAATTTTTTTTTATTTTTGGAGATGGAGTCTTGCTCTGTTGCCCAGGCTGGAGTGCAGTGGCACGATCTCGGCTCACTGCAACTTCTGCCTCCCAGGTTCATGCTGTTCTCCTGCCTCAGCCTCCTGAGTAGCTGGGATTACAGGCACACGCCACTGTGCCCAACTAGTTTTGTATTTTTAGTAGAGATGGGGTTTTGCCATGTTGGCCAGGCTGGTCTTGAACTCCTGACCTCAGGTGTGCCGCCTGTCTTGGCCTCCCAAAGTGCTGGGATTACAGGCGTGAGCCACCGCACCTGGCCTAAAAATTTATTTCCATCCCATGGAAAATGTTCTTTTAGAACTCCATTGATAAGTGTAGCTATGTAAGTAGTATGTGTATGTGCGTGTGTATATATACGTATGTCTGTACAGGTATATATACGTGCATATACTACTTACATGTATATACACACATGCTACTTAATACATGTGTATAGTCATGTATATATACACGTGTATATGTATATTACATTTATACACATACATTTTTTATATGTTAATAGTGATTCTCAGTGGTGGGATTACAAGTGATCTTTATTTTCCTTACATTTAAAAAAATTGAGTGCATTTTTACAAATAATAAAATATGTTTTAAACAATCATTAATACCTTTTTAGAAAAACAGGATGAAGTTGTCTATTACGATCCATGTGAAAGTCCAGAGGAACTTAGTCATTGACTGTGGTGGGGCTGCAGGACGATAAGAATTCGGAAGTGAAAGAACTCAGAAGGCAGTGCCAGCAGCTGGAGTCTGTTAAACGGGGCAGTCTGTGTCAAAAGAGCTTCTCTCCAGAGTAGAAAGGTAGGTACGCTCAGAGCGGCTTTCTTTTCTTTTCTCTTCCAGAGATTTATTCTTGTATGAAGGATAAAGAGGTATTGAAATAAGGTTTTTACCAACACAGTGATTAATTTTTTGTGTGCTTATGTACTTATCCATGGCTATAGTTAAAATGATTTTTAATATTTTTCTTAAAAATATTATTTTTTTCTTTTGGGTTTTAAGCATTTAGCAAATCTCAAGGTTTTAATTTATTCATTTAACAACTATTTGTTGAATGCCCA
This sequence comes from Homo sapiens, assembly GCF_000001405.40. Taxonomy (NCBI): domain Eukaryota; kingdom Metazoa; phylum Chordata; class Mammalia; order Primates; family Hominidae; genus Homo; species Homo sapiens. The sequence continues at coordinate 2,041,150 of NW_012132920.1, read as the reverse complement.
CTGCATACACAGGCACTTTTATTTTTATTTTTTTGAGACAGAGTCTTGCTCTGTCACCCAGGCTGGAGTGTGGAGGCAAGATCTTGGCTCACTACAACTTCCGCCTCCTAGGTTGAAGCAATTCTAGTGCCTTAGCCTGCCAAGTAGCTCGGTTTACAGGTACGTGCCACCACGCCCAGCTAATTTTTGTATATTTTGTAGAGACGGGGTTTCGCCATGTTGGCTAGGCTGGTCTTGAACTCCCGACCTCAAGTGATCCGCCCACCTTGGCCTCCCAAAGTCCTGGGATTACAGGTGTGAGCCACTGCCCCTGGACCACAGGTACTTTAAAAACCACAATAGGTAGAAACTCTATTTCTAATAACCAGCTATAACAATTCTAAATATATTTTACTGTAAATTATTGAGTACACAAAACAATAACAGGTAACTATTCAGCTCACCTCAGATTTAATACTTAAACATTAAAGAATATCAACCTACTTGCAAGAAACTTAACAAAACCTAAGGAACATAATACAAATAAAACTTTACCTATGCAGATTATAAGCTGGATATTATAATATCCAGGAAAATATCCAGGATGTTAGAATGGCTTGAAACAGAATTGAAAATTTTTGAGCTATAAGACACATAGGAGAAATTTTAAGTTCATTTTTTTTGGGTGAGACATTTATTAGTCTCAACAAGACTGAATGATTTTCTTTTAAGGTCACACATTTAAATAGTTAACAGGAGAAATACCAACCAGAATCATAGTCAAATACCCACCTACTCCCTTTCCAAGACAACTAAGGTCTCAAATTGCGCCCATTTTTCTCAAATTATTTCTAGAATATTTAGCAAAAGAGGCTTTTAATTTGGCATGTCTTTGTCTACAATTTTGTAGTTTATGTAAAGAAAGGTAGACTAAGGGAATTTCATTTTAAAGGTGAGGATCAGAATGACATTTGTGAAGCTATGATGCCTGTGCCATCTGGCATACACGAGGGTGTTGTACTAAATGGGATCAGAATGAGCTCCTTTTGGAAGGAAACCTTTAATAGACTGGGAAACATTAAGGGAATCTTCCCTTTTTTATTTATTTTATTTTATTTTTTTTTTTTTTAGATGGAGTCTCACTCTGTCACCCAGGCTGGAGTGCAGTGGCGCAGTCTCGGCTCACTGCAAGCTCCGCCTCCTGGGTTCACGCCATTCTCCTGCCTCAGCCTCCTGAGTAGCTGGGACTACAGGTGCCCGCCACCACACCCGGCTAATTTTTTGTATTTTTAGTAGAGACGGGGTTTCACCGTGTTAGCCAGGATGGTCTCCATCTCCTGACCTTGTGATCCACCCGCCTCAGCCTCCCAAAGTGCTGGGATTACAGGCGTGAGCCACCGTGCCCAGCCTCTTATTTTTAATAGAGCATTGGAAAATGAATTCTGTATACCTGGCTAATGAAGGAAATCCAGATTCGTTGCCAAAACCAAGTTTTAAAGGAATTTGCAATCCTTCACAGTTCATTCAAGGAGGCAATGGAAATTTTGATGAAGAAATTTTTTAAAATCTTTCTTAAAAGGAGTCCTTACATTGGCATTGTATCATGACTAAAGTCTTCCTCCCTCTCTCCCTTCTATGCTTTTTGTTTCTGTTTTCTATCTTTCAATGACATCAGTTTCATGGATATAAATGGTTAAAAGACAATGATTACAACACACAGTTGAGTGACACAAATCTTGTTGTAGTGTTAGAAATACATCAATACATTGGGATCATAAAGAGAAATGGCAAGAAAAAAAATCTTAAGTTAATAACAGAAAATGCTGATTCCCACAGTCAGTGTAGAAAATAACACGTTTTTTTTTCTGTCAGTGGAGATAACTGAGACTAGTTAATATTGTCAATTCTGTTCCTTCTGACTGAGCCAGGTGAGGCAAAATTTAGCATATGAGTTGAGGGACAAAACTATTACCTTGGCAACATAAAAATTAATACTGTCTACATTGTTTACTAGGAAATGCATGCAAAATTAATACACACTCTTGGTAGTACAGGTTCGTTTCACTTCTATAGTGTGTGGTTAATAGAAAGCTGATTCAACAGACGATAGATTCAACAGACGATGTAGAATTGTCTAAGATCCAGCCAGGCGTGGTGGTTCACACCTGTACTCCCAGCACTTTGGGAGGCTGAGGCGGCAGATCACAATGTCAGGAGATCGAGACCATCCTGGCTAACATTGTGAAACCTCGTCTCTACTAAAAATACAAAAAAATTAGCCGGGAGTGGTGGTGGGCGCCTGTAGTCCCAGCTACTCGGGAGGCTGAGGCAGGAGAATAGCGTGAACCCAGGAGGCGGAGCTTGCAGTGAGCCGACATCGCGCCACTGCATTCCAGCCTGGGCGACAGAGCGAGACTCCATCTCAAAAAAAAAAAAAAAAAAAAAAAGAATTGTCTAAAATTCATCGTCGGTGAGTCCATGGCATGTTTTGGAATTTATTCACTTGTTTGCCTCAGGAACAGTAGCTGTTCAGATTTGTTCTGTCTTTGATTTTGGAAATGAGGTTACCGTGCTCTGTAGTGTGAGGAAGATGACATGGCATAATTAGGCAAACGGCTAGGCATTTTCTCAGCAGTAAATTACCAGTGCCCTTACTTGCCATGATACCCACAACAGGCAGAGGCAGTTTCCTGAGGCAATCCAGGCCACAAAGAACTGTACATTTGGGGAAAACATATCTTCAAATATATATGTTAAAATCTAAAAAATTGGTTAGTATGTATTACTTTTGTGGATACTTAAACATTCCCTATGCATAAAGACCTAGTTAAAGAGATGGAGGCTTTTGGCATGTTAAATAACTCCTTGATGAGAAATCACACTATGAATAATAAATATGACTTAATAAAAATGAAAAATAATGAGATTAGTTACTATTGAACTATTCTTGCTTAGAATGCCCCTGAATTTCAGTCATTGAAATTCACTTGTACCTGGGTAAGTTACAAGTTCTTATTTGTGCTGGTTTCTGTTCCATTGGCAATTAAAATTTTGGTAAGTTGAATAAAAGATCTTTCTAAAAAGGGAGTTTTTTTTTTTTTTTCTTTTTTGAGGGGGATGGAGTCTCGCTCTGTCGCCCAGGCTGGAGTGCAGTGGCACGATCTCGGCTCACCGCAAGCTCCATCTCCGGGGTCCATGCCATTCTCCTGCCTCAGCCTCCTGAGTAGCTGGGACTACGGGCGCCCGCCACCACGCCCGGCTAATTTTTTTTGTGTTTTTAGTAGAGACGGGGTTTCACCGTGTTAGCCAGGATGGTCTCCATCTCCTGACCTCGTGATCCGCCCTCCTCAGCCTCCCAACGTGCTGGGATTACAGGTGTGAGCCATCGCGCCCGGCCAAAAGGGAGTTCTTATATTGGCAGTGTATCATGATTAAAGTTATCCTCCCTCTTTCTCTCCCTCCCACATATATATTTTCGTGTCAGTATATGTATATGTGATTTGTGCTATTTGTGTGTGTGTAGGTAAATGAAAGTGGCATCAAGAGAATCTCACATTAAAAAAAATTTGAGATAGTACAATTCTTATGCATCATATGTTGCATAACGTTTGACTATTAAGAAATTTGCATCACACGTCTACTTATTTCATTAAACATGTTACAGTCAATTAATTCACTTACACCCTCCATTTCCTTCTTCCCCCTCTCTCGTTCTCCTGCTGCAGGGTCATTATACGTTCCTACTCACAAAATGTCCTTGTTTTTTCCCTTACTCCTGTCATTGATCTTCTGAATCTTTCCGGCGAACTTAACATGGATGTTTTGATAGAAAGCTCTGGCATTAACTCTGGAGTTGTTTTGCAAGGAAGGTTGTTCGCTTTTTCACCATTTTTTTTTTTTTCAGGTCCTTGAAGTGTTTTCACATAGATATTTCACAAGAGCCATTTCAGAATTGAGAACATTTGGCGTGCACTCTTCCTCTTTTGGTCCCACAGTTTTTATGTGTCCTACTTGAAATTATGTTTGCTCCCGTTTCAATTGTAATATTGCACTTACTCATTAGTTTTTAGTTTGAACTCTCCTGCGAGGTCTAATGTAGAGTTTGGACAAGAACACAGATTCATAATAAACCTACCCAGTCAATTTGGTATAAAGGCTTAGAAGGTGGAACTGGCCACATTTTGAATTGGAGGTAAGGATCAGGAATGCTAATGGAGAGACATAGGATTTTCTTATGGAAACAAGAAACAAATAACCTCTGGGCAGTATTAGAGCCCAGAGAGTGATAAGCCTCTTCTAACTTCAATATTCTATGTACAAATTCACAAGACTTTTTTTTTCTTTCTTTTTTTTGAGACGGAGTCTCACTCTGTAGCCCAGGCTGGAGTGCAATGGCGCGATCTTGGCTCACCGCAAGCTCCCCCTCCCGGGTTCACGCCATTCTCCTGCCTCTGCCTCGCGAGTAGCTGGAACTACTGGCGCCCACCACCACATCCAGCTAATTTTTTTGTATTTTTAGTGCAGACTGGGTTTCACCGTGTTAGCCAGGATGGTCTGGATCTCCTGACCTTGGGATCCGCCCGCCTCGGCCTCCGAAAGTGCTGGGATTACAGGCGTGAGCCACCGTGCCCGGCCGAGACTTTTAATTATGCAATGCCAGACTGCATTGCATAAACCAAAGGCCAACAGAGAGGTGACCTTTCAAATTACTGGCACAAGAAGAGCCGAGATCAGAAAGCTCCAACTTAATGCAAACATCGACAAGAAATCCGACAGAAATGACTTCTGTGTCTGGTCAACTTAACATAACATGACATATTGTCAAGCACATTTGGCTTTTTAGGTAGAATTGTCTATAAAGGTTTAACTGCTTTAGAAAATATAAATGTGAAGATTTGTGGTATTTGGGTTTATATATAAGATATTTCTACATTGAAAAGAGACAGTGGAAAAGCTTGGTATAAGATTTGTAAAATATGTTTGTAATAATGCTAATGGAAGAGGTGAGAGTTGGGTGGGGTGGGGTGTAGATGGGAACATGGTTTGGGGATTGGGGAAAGGGAAGTCATGCTGTTAATAAAATAGTGAGGCATGTTGTATAAAGTGTGTTTTATGTCTCAATTGAAATGTTATAGAGATAAATTTAAAATAGATCATGATGGGTTTTGAATCTGATTTCTAATTTTAAAATGTTATGAGCTTTTGTTGCTTTCCTATTTCATACACATTTCTTTATGGGTTTCACTTAGACTGCATGAAATTGCAGATGCCAATTACCTTTTAACAAAATTAAATTCACATATATGTATAATTTACATGTATATATTCATGGAATTTTTTATTCTACACGATATATTATTTTAAAATGGTTTTTCAATGACAAAATAAAAAGTATTTTTCTATACTTTCAGTTTTCTGGTTTGAATTTTTTCTGGCAACACTAATTTTCACCTACCTATACTCATTGATAGTATAAAATTGTACAAGTGCATATTTTACCATGTTTACATTTGAATGGATGACTGGAGGTACATCTATGATGACTAATACTTTCTAAACACATATTTACCTCTCATATATCTGTGTAAATGATTGTAAGAGGAAGGGGAAAATAGAGATGTATCATTAGGTATACTGTCTTAAAGCACATTCAGCTGCTCTCATGTTTGGAGAATTTTGAATGTGATGAATGTTTCTCTTTCACCGCTAACAGGTTGTATGTGTGAGCCACATTTTATTGCAAGTGTTTGAAAGGCCATTGCAAATATGGGATATTGCCAGACAGTAAAAAGCAAATTGAGTCTATTGAGAAATTAATTCACCAGCTGAAGGAAGTACATTTGCCTTAGAGTCATCAGATATTCTACCCACCAGACTCATCTCCGAGATAGCATCCTAATGAGCTTCCTAAACCAACTAAACATGAGCAGGAAGCATCAGTCGTCAAAACTGACTCTTTTCAGCCAATCAGCTGACTGCACAAACTGTATGGCATTGAGGAAAGGAAGAACATTCTGAAAGTTTTTTTCTTTTTTCATTCTGTCCTCATTCTGTTGGTTTCTCAGTTTTACGGATGCAGGATCATGCACAGAACCCTGTAAATGAGCATAGTTCGTTTAAGTATATAAAGTGCTTTCGGTGGATAAAATGAATTTTAACAGGCTTAAGTGATGTGCCTAAATGCACACAATTAATGCATGGCTGGAATTCAAAATCATGTCTTTTCCTCTGTTCTGATTGTTTTATAAATATGGGTTGTTTTAATGTGTGGCTGGAATTCAAAATTGTGTCTTTTCCTCTGTTCTGATTGTTTTATAAATACAGGTGTAGTGATTGATTTTCTACCCACCATGACAGGGAATAGGTTCAAAACTTAAAACCCTGTTTGTTTTATAATTAGGTAGACTCAAATGACAGGTCAAGGCAGGGAGGGGAGCCAGTCATTTTTACTCCCATATGGGTTTGCTCCTTCAAAGACAGGATTGGGGTAGCAGTGTCAGTTCCTACAGGTTATAACGATCTTAATGATAAACTTAAATAACCGTAACTGAATACTTATAATGTGCTAGCACTTTTCATAATGTATCCCAATAATACTCACAAAACCTTCCAAATATTACCTTTTTGTTGTCTTTGTTTTATTTTGTTTTGTTTTGAGACAGGGTCTCACTCTGCTGCCCAGGCTTTAGTGCAGTGATGCAATCATGGTTCACTGCAGCGTCAAACTCCTGGGCTTAAGCAATCCTCCCACCTCAGCCTCCCAAGAAGCTGAGACTACAGGCATGCACCACCACTCCCAGCTCCAAATAAATATTCTTATCCCATTTTACTGATGCAGAAAAATGTATGGCCCAGAGAAGTAATGTTAAGTTTATTGGGGGATTTAAGTTGTAAAAAATTATTTTATCGAACCCTAATGTAAACTGTGGACTCTGGGTGATAGTGATGTGTCAGTGTAGGTTCATCGATTATAGCAAATGCATCATTCTGGTGCAGGATGTTGACAGTGGGGGAAGCTGTGTGTGTATGGGAGTAGGGAGTCTATGGGAACTCTTCTACTTTCCACTCAATTTTGCTGTGAGCCTAAAACTACTCTAAAAAATGAAGTTTATTAATCAAGAAAAAAATTCTTATGTTTTATGAATATATGGGACAGCTATTCATGTATGTGGTAAAAATGAAGAGATTTGTTACAGTACTCGGCAGGAGTGTGTCTAATCGACTGATATTCATGTGTCACTTATAAAAACTGGCTTCATTATCAATCTATAGATTCATTTCATTTGTGTATGTTCGCTTAAGGGCACACACATGGAAACCCTTTGGTGTTATTAGAGGTCTGTTGGGAGGGCTCCTCTTTGGTGGAAGCTATGTCTGTTTCTCAGAAGTGATTTAAGAGTAAGATGTGAAATAGCACTTGTCCCCGAGGATGGAGCCAACAGAGCACAGAGCATAGGGGAGTTATGTGATGCTGTCTCTGAGGGACTGGAGAGAGGAATATAAAGAGCTTATCCCTTAAGAAAGAATAGGGGAGGACTTCCTTGCCTGATATCTCAGATCATGAAGCTACAGTTCTCTCCCTGCTTTAGAGAAAAAAAAAAACAGACTTTTTGCAAAAATCAATTATTGAACATATTCCTATATTCTAGATTTATAATGAAGCATTTTTGTACATATTCATTAAAAAGAGCAATTAGAACATTTTTCTCTGGTTTATAGTAACTAGGATGGCAACACATATATATCTTGGAAGTATTTTGTGGTATGATTCTTCAACATAAAATTATTTTTCAAAACTTCTTAGAAGTCTCCAGGTACTCAGGAATAAGGTCATTTTAAATTATTCCTTATTGACTATAAGAAAAATAATTAGGCAAGATCACAAAATAAATGTTTAGACTGTTTCTCCTGTTTCCTGATTTTCAGGTTATTTTTTATCCCAATTTTATTTTGCTGTATAGTCATAAATTTCATCTTTGAAATAAAGCATATAATCACTTTTTTTGTTTGTTTGTTTTTTTGAGATGGAGTCTCGCTCTGTAGCCCAGGCTGGAGTGCAGTGGCGCAATCTCGGCTCACTGCAAGCTCTGCCTCCCGCGTTCACGCCATTCTCCTGCCTCAGCCTCCTGAGTAGCTGGGACTACAGGTGCCTGCCACCACGATCGGCTAATTTTTTTGTATTTTTTGTAGAAACGAGGTTTCACCGTGTTAGCCAGGATGGTCTGGATCTCCTGACCTTGTGATCTGCCCACCTCGGCCTCCCAAAGTGCTGGGATTACAGGCGTGAGCCACAGCGCCTGGCCATGCTTTCTATTTTATATGCTGTTTTTGTTTCTTTTTCATCCCTGATCTTCAGTTAGCTGCTGGCATTTTACTTGTTCCCAACTAATTTTTCTTCTAATGACTTGAAAAGTATATGTTTAGTTCCTATATCTTTATATTTTTATACACATAGCTACACATATGATTGACATCCAGAGCTAATCGTATAGATAAAATGAGACTCCTAGCATGCTTTTACTTCTCTCTCCTTCCTCCTTTCCAGACTTCATAACTTTCCATCCCGAGTTATTTCAGATTTTAGTTTTTTATTATAGGTTTATTTTTATAATTTAGACTTAAAAGTAAACTTCACTGATTATCTTGCTCACCTGTGCTTCTTATATCCCTTTTTTTCTTCCCAGATTTATTTTCTTTTTGAATATATTTTCTACACCATGGTTTCTCAACCAGAGGTGATACAGCACTGTCTCCAAATGTGGGGCTGTTGTGTATTGTCACGGGGAGGAGAAATGCTACTGGCATTTAGTGGATGATGGTCAAGGACACTAAGCAACCTGCAATGTGTGGATCAATCTTACACAACGAAGGACTGTTCCACCCCAAATGCCAATGGTACCCTGTTGAGAAAGGTTAGTCTATGTGGACAGTGAATTATAAACTTTTTGAATCTGTTTTTGTGTCTTAAAATGTCTTTATGATGCCCTCACATTCACTTGCACTTTGGCTGGTTAAACAATATTAAAAGAAAACTTCAAATTAAATGGAATTTAATTGAGCAAGAAAAAAAAACCACAGCAGATTCAGAGAGACTTCAGGGATGCCTCATGGTCAGAACAAATGTATAGACAAGAAAAGGAAAGTGACACACAGAAATTGAAAGTGAGGTAAAGAAACAGCTGGATTGGTTACAGGTTGGCATTTGCCTTATTTGAACACAGTTTGAACCCTCAGCAGTGTATGAGTGATTGAAGTATAGTTGCTGGGATTGGCCAAGACTCAGCTGCTGTTACAGATGCATACTCCTAAGCTAGGTTTTCAATCTTGTCTATTAAGTTAGGTTATGGTTAGTCCACAAGGACTCAAATACAGAAGTACAGAGTCCTCAGGCCATATTTAGTTCGCTTTAACAAGAATCATAAGTTCACAAGTATTTTCACCAGAAAACTGTAAAGACATTATTCTGTTTTCTTACTTACCATGTTGCCAATGTGAAGTCTGGTATCGATCTTATTCCATCCCACACAATTGTTTTCACGCTGAAAACATTCAGTTTCCTCCTTATCCTTAGTATCCTGAAATTTTATCATGATTTACTTACATGTCAGTCTTTTTACATTCTTCCTGTAAATATTCACTGGTTCCTCTCAATATGAGTATTTCCAATTTCTAAGAAATTGTCTTAAATTTTTGCCTTGTTTTAGGCACTCTCCTTCCTTAATTTTCTTCTCTCCTGTAATTCATATTAAGCAGATAGTGGAACTTTTACAGCTGTCATTCATGTCTCATAACATTTTGTTCATTCTTTCCATCTATTGTTTTGCACTGCATTCTGGGAGAATTACTTAGCATGATATTCTGGTTCACTGATTTACTCTTCAATCCATTTTGCTATTCAACCCATCTATTGAGATTTTTATTTCAAGAATAAAATTTTTTAATTTCTAAAACCTTGATGCATTTTTAATTTTTTTTAAAAATGAAAGCAGTAAGCTCTGCCATTTGTCCAAGGTATATAATGATACTTATTCCATAGTCTGTTTCTTTTTTTTTTTTTTTTTTTTGCTCTGTCGCCCAGGCTGGAGTGCAGTGGTGCGATCTCGGCTCACTGCAAGCTCCACCTCCCGGGTTCACGCCATTCTCCTGCCTCAGCCTCCCAAGTAGCTGAGACTACAGGCGCCTGCCACCACACCTGGCTAATTTTGTTGTAGTTTTAGTAGAGACGGGTATTCACCATGTTAGCCAGGATGGTCTCAATCTCTTTACCTTGTGATCCACCCGCCTCGGCCTCCCAAAGTGCTGGGATTACAGGTGTGAGCCACCGTGCGCGGCCGCAAACTCGTTTCTTAACTGTATGTGGATTCTCCTTCATCATACAACATCTAGATCTGTGGAACTGAACCAAACCTAGAAAATGGGCAATAGGCTACCACTGTCAGATACGTATTTGCCAGATTCAGAGATTCTGTTTTTACTTCTAAAAATTTAAATAGACAAGACTTTGAGAGTTGACAGAATCACCTTGACTTGTCATTCTCTGCTCCTCCCTACTAAGTACAATTATAAACACTGAGAATAGTAAAAGGAACAGCTACAGGAGAATTCTGAAAGGTGGTAAGAGGAAGGTGAATTGGTCGGGGCCTCGATTCTGGAGGCACAAAATACAACCCCCATCCAACAAGAGAGGTGATCCAGGCTTGACAATTCCCACCTCCCAATGTAGTAACAGAAGGTAGCTCAAGTAGGCTCATTCTTCTGCAACAAATGAGAGTTCTGCCAGAAATAGCAGGCAAGCAGAGGAGAACCAACAATGGAGACGGGTTGATTAGAAGCCCTGTTAACGGTAAGCTGCCAGAAAACTCTACTTTTTCACCAAGTGTGAGACACCATTTTCTCTACGTCTCTACTCCTCTCCTTCCACCCCTGTTCCCAAGCCCTTGGTTGAGGGCACTAGCAACTGGAATTGCCAAAATCCAACTTTCCAATTCTTTCCCACAAAGGACGCAACTCACCTCCTTCACCAGAGACACTGCACAACCAAGGGCACAGGGAAGGGAATTCACACTGCAATGTGCACTTGGCCAGGGAAGCACTCTGCCCCTGTAGGACGGAGTCTCCATTCATTCACTTAGAGATACAGACAACTGATCCTGGGGAAGCTCCATCAGAAACCAGTAGGAGCCCCAGTGGAATGATATTTTTTTAAAAAGCAAACTAAAATAGCTCTGCAAAGACTGAAAATTAAATTGTCGTAGGAGTCAAATCCTTCAAATTAGGTCCAGACCGGCATGCTGAATCCAAAAAGGTGAATGCTTACTAAAATTAAACAAAATGTAAATAGAACCCAGATTTCCTAACATAATATAAAAAATGCGCAAGGCACAGGGAAATGGGAATTGAAATGACAAAAGGCAATCAGTTGATGTTAACAGTGAAATAAACCACATGTTGGAATTATCTGACAACAATTTCAAAGCAACCAGCATAAAAATGGTTCAAGTAATAAAAAAATTATCTTAAATGAAAAAATGGAATATTCTAGCAAAGAAATAGGAGTTATAAAAAAGAAACAAGACATTCATGAAACAGATAAATGCAGTAACAGAAATTAAAAGCTTTCTAGGTGGGCTCAATAGTAGAGGGTGGAGGGCAGGAGATATGATCAGTGAACTTGAAAATGTGTAGAATTTCCCTAATCTGAACAATAGAGGAAATAGACTGAAAATAATGAACAGAACTTCACAGACCAATAACAAAAGATCCAACATTAATATTATCGGAGTTGGGGAAGAAGAGGAGAAAGTCAGTGGGGCTGAAAGAGTATTTGAAGACATAATGGGTAAACATTTCCCAAATTTGTTAAACGAAATACACTCAGATTCAAGAAGTTTAATATATCCCAAATAGTATGAACCCAAAGAAATATATACCAGGACACATCATACTAAACTTCTGAAAAGACAGAAAATATTGAAAGCAGGCACAGAAACATGACTTGTTATCCTTAGGGGCACATGAATTGGAATGACAGTGAATTTCTTATCTAAAGCCATGGGGGCAAGTAGGAAGTGGCACAATATTTTTCAAGTGCCAAAAGAAAAGAACTGTAACTGTTGATCTACACAAATGTTGATGAATTTAAAAGATGTTATGCTAGATTAAAGGATGTAATGTTTAAAGTTAAACATTAAGTTGACTTGGTAGATAGCTGGTAAAACATTTCTAAGTGTGTGAGGGTGTTTTTGGAAAATAGTATTTGTTTATATTTTTTGTTTTTGGAAGTGTGCAATTACTTTAGTTTTTTTCAGCTTTATTGAGGTATAGACAAAAGATTAGTATTTGATTCAATAGACAAACAAGATCTGCCCTCACAAATGTGGGCAGGCATCACCTAGTTCATTGAAGGCCTAGATAGAACAAGAAGGGCAGAGGAAGTGCAAATTATCTTTCTCCTTGAGCTGGGACATACTTTTCCTGCCCTTAGACATCATATCTCCTGGTACTCAGGTCTTTGGACTCAGACTGGTAGTTTCACCATTCACTCTGTTGGTTCTCAGGCCTTTGGACTCAGACTGAATTGTGCCACCAGTTTTCATAGGTCTGCAGGTTATAGGTGGCATATTGTGGGATTTCTTGGCCTTCATAATTATGTAAGCCAATTCTGATTATAGATCTCCTCTTATCTCTGCACCTATCCACAGAGATAGAGAATCTATTATCTATCTACAGGGATAAGAGTGATATGCACAGGCGACAGGGAAATACTGGGTAGAAGAGGCGGTTCCCTGTCAAAGGCCCCACCCTGAAGCCAGGAAACCTGCAGCCCTAAATGGGAACAGTCATTCCTGTTTTTGCACCCAGCTGTTGCCTTTTGGCCCACCATGCCCCCCTCTCCTGAACCCTTATAAACCCCAAGTCCCAGGCTTCACAAGCAGAAGAGCAGAGGGTTGGAAGAGCAGGGTGGCAGAGAAGGAGAGAAGAGAAGGAACGTCTGAACATCGAGAGGTGGTTGGCTGGGGATGGTTGGAGAACAGATTGGCCACGGGATGGCCAAACTCCAGAGGAAGATCATCTTCCTACTGCAACTCCTCTCCAGCTCCCCATCCACCCTGCTGAGAGCCACTTCCGTCTGGCAATAAAATCCCCCACATTTGTCATCCTTCAATTTTTCCATGTCACCTGATTCTTCCTGGATGCCAGGCAAGGACCTTGGTACCAAGAGGGCACTGAGCTGGTTAACACTTAAGTGGTCTGCAGATGGCAGAGCTAAAGAGTACTGTAATATGCCCACTGGAGCTTTGGGAGTTGCAGGCACCCACCCATATATGGTAACGTGGGGCCAGAGTCCAAAAGTGCTTGCCCCAGCTCCTACACCTCCCTGTCTGCGTGCTTCCCCTCCCATGAGGGGTTTGAGCAGGAGGCAGCAGAACAGATGAGCCACACCCACCAATCATCCTGTGTAGGGGATCAGGGAACTCTCCTGTTTCAAGAGGAGATATGAGATACAGATAGGTAGCTAGCTAGCTGTGTACCTATCTACCTATCTACCTATCTATATCAGATTGGTTCTATTTTTCTGGAGAAACCTGAATAATACAGATTTTTGCCCCAAGAGTGGATCTAGAGGAACAGAATTTTAAGGATAAATTCTGTGAATTGGTTTTGAGGTTTCTGGAATTGTTTCTCTAATATGATTAAACTTGAAAATACTAATGACTTTACTTTCAGTGGTAAGATATTACTGATAGTCCATGACGTGAATTTTTTATTGAGATACCCAAAATATCTGCATTGGATAGTCCTAGTCAACTAAAGTAATGCGATATATAATACTTTCAAAAGATTTTGGAAAACTAAGGAAAATAATGACAATAATTCCCAGCTCAAGCACCACACAAATGACCTAAGACCTTCTAGGTGCACCCTGAGGGAGAGTGTTAGGTCTTGTAGCTTCAGGGCTGAAATTGCTGAAAATCAAATGCAAGACTTTATCCTGTGATTGGCTGAATTACAAGGCAAATATAACTCCCAGCCTCACAGGGTGCCCACTGATAAAGTGAGGGCATTGACTGGGAAAAAAATGGGATCCTGTAAATTGGGATGGAAAGCCTTGGTAAAGCTGGGAACATTGAGCCCCTCTGATGAGCCTTTGTTGCCCATGTCAACTTAAGGAAAGAAAATGAGGCAAAATTAATATAAGTAGAGAGTTTATATGGGCCAAGATTAAGGACTGCAGCCTAGGAGTAATAGATTCAAGTTGCCCTACATATATACCCAGATTAGCAGCAGTTACAAGTGGGTGTTTAAGAGAAAAAATAAGCTGGGGGCAGTTTCTAAGTTGCTTATCAATAATCTACATAGGTTCATTAAAATAACACAACACAAACTATTTGTTGGCTATGCATTGTTTTTGTATCACAGATTCCAGGAACATGAAGATATTGGGTGAGGGCCACATTGTGCAACTTATGGTAATGTTTTAGGAAATTTATCCGCTAGTCTGGAAACTGCAGGAAAGGAAAGAAAGCCAAAGTGCCTTTAAACAATTATGCCCAGGCACGGGTGCCAGGACATGAGTGAAGCCTCGTGCTCATCTCTCAGGGCCCGATAAATTTTGCAGACCTCACATTTCTAAGACGACTCGGAGCCACTTTTCTTTCTCACCAGTGGAACAGGTCTCCCTACCACCAGCAGAAGTAGCCACCCCACCCCTGGCAAAAGTGAATTCCCCAACCCCAGAGGAAGTGCCTCCCCATCCCCAGTGGCATCAACCTTTCCACCTCTGTCTGAGGGGATAACCCTGCACTGCCTGAGGAAATGGGAATGGCCTCCCGTAAGGCAGCTGTGGAGCAAGACAATGCTGATTCTCCTTAGGAGCCACCCCACCACCCCTCTTTGCTTTTAGGCCAAGTTCATCCAACCTGTGGCCTGCAGGCCACATGTGGCCCAAGACAGCTTTGAATGCAGTCCCATACAAATTCGTTAACTTTCTTAAAACTATGAAATTTTTTGGCCAGGCGCGGTGGCTCACGCCTGTAATCCCAGCACTTTGGGAGGCCAAGGCAGGCAGATCACGAGGTCAGGAGATCGAGACCATCCTGGCTAACATGGTAAAACCCCATCTCTACTAAAAACACAAAAAATTAGCCGAGTGTGGTCTCCGGAGCCTGTAGTCCCAGCTACTTGGGAGGCTGAGGCAGGAGAATGGCGTGAGCCCAGGGGGAAGAGCTTGCAGTGAGCCGAGATTGCGCCACT
Source organism: Homo sapiens (assembly GCF_000001405.40). Lineage (NCBI taxonomy): Eukaryota > Metazoa > Chordata > Mammalia > Primates > Hominidae > Homo > Homo sapiens. The sequence continues at coordinate 2,025,916 of NW_012132920.1, read as the reverse complement.
GCACTCCAGCCTGGGCGACAGCGAGACTCTGTCTCAAAAAAAAAAAAATTATGAAATTTTTTTGCTATTTTCTTTTTTTAGCCCATCAGCTATCATTAGTGTTACTGTAGTTTATGTGTGGCCCAAGACAATTCTTCTTCTAATGTGGCCCAGGGAAGCCAAAAGATTGGACACCCATATTCTAGACCTATAAGTAGACTCCAGTCCCGCAATCCCCTAAGGTGAGTTACAGAGTATGATCTCTGAGGAGGCTGACTACATCCAGGAACAGGTAGGAAACTGGGGAACATGTGTGGGAATGGATATTAGGGGTGTGAAAGGAAAATAAATATTGGGATGCCAAACTCATTAAGCCGAAGGGAAAAGTTAAGCTGGGAACTGGGTCATGCAAACCTGCCTCCCCTTTTGCTTCCTAACTAAGATGGCTACAAGATGAAAATCTTCATGCCTCCCCCACATTTTGTCCATGAGGAAATTCCTAGTGAGCTCCAAGATCTTTACCCTAAGGTGTGTCTGTTAAAATTTCACCATGATAATGTCAATTGTCTTTACAGTGCAGTCACCCCCCTGCCCTCCAGACACAAATGCATATCTGATCGGTCCCCTGCCCCATTTTGTCTGTTATCTTATGTAAAAATGCAGATTCCAGCATTTTTCCTCTGCCCCATTTGTCTATGTCATCTTATGTAAAACAATGCAAATTCACTGAGCCAGACAAATAAATGAATATTTTTCCCTACCCCACTCTCACATGAAAATTGTGTACCTCTCAATATCCTGCCCTTTCCTCTTTAAATTTGGAGCCCTCAAAATCATCTTTGAAGAAAGGCATAGACCTGTCTCCTGGGCATGCATCCTTAACTTTGGCAAATAAACCTCCTAAAATGATTGAGATTTGTCTCATCATTTTTCTCGATTGACAGGGGTATGAGACAATGGTGGAAGGAACATAAAGTTCCCCGTTTGTTGATACGGTCCCACAGAGCAGAGATTCTGCATTTAATGTTGTAGTTCAGGGAGTTACAAAAGGCTCTACCAGTTTGGTTTGTTGGCTGCAATCTGGATCAAAAGATGTCCCACTGTGAGTGAATTGGAAATGCCAGATATCCCTTGATTTAATGTAGAGGAAGGGATTCAAAGACTAAGGAAAATTAGAATGATGGAGTTAACTTATCATTTAGGAATTACTCATTCACACAGGGAAAGCCCAGAATACATACCTTTCGCCAATACTTAATGAAATGAATTTGTGACAAGAGACCTAGCTATTTTATGCTATGTTATGTTATGTTATGTTATGTTATGTTATGTTATGTTATGTTATGTTATGATGTAGCAGGATGAGCCGCAGACAAAACCTCTCAGACACCGAGTTGTAGAAGGAAGGGCTTTATTCAACTGGGAGCATCAGCAAGCTACTGCCTTAAAATCCGAGCTTCTTCGAGTGCACAATTTCCATCCCTTTTAAGGGCTCACAACACTAAAGATTTCATGTGAAAGGGTCGTGATTGATTGAGCAATCGAGGGGATACATGACAGGGGTTTCATGCACTGGTGGTCAGAGTGAAACAGAACAGAGCAGGGAGTTTCATAATATTCTTTTATACAATGCCTGAAATCTATGGGTAACATCGGGTTCTAAGTCATGAGTTGATTTTTAACTACTAGGTTTAGGCCGGGCAGGCCCAGGCCTGGTTTTGGGCCTGGTGCCAGGCTGCCTGTCTTTGATTTCACTTCCTTGTTTTTTTTCTTTTTTCTTTAAACAGGTACTGAGTATGAAACAATATAAAACAATATGAGAGGGTCTTTGTCTTCCCTCAATGAGATGGAGTCTCACTCTGTTGCCCAGGCTGGAGTGCAATGGCACAATCTCAGCTCACTGCAACCTCCACCTCTTGGGTTCAAGCGATTCTCTCACCTCAGCCTCCGGAGTAGCTGGGATTACAGATGCGTGCCAACATGCCCAGCTAATTTTTGTATTTTCTGTAGAAATGGGGTTTCACCCTGTTGGCCAGGCTGTTCTCAAACTCCTGACCTCAAGTGATCCACCCGCCTCGGCCTCCCAAAGTGCTGGGATTACAGGTGTGAGCTACCGCCCCCGGCCAAGCCTCTTTAATAATATATAATCCTTCTTTTCTTGGGAAGCCTGCGTACTACATAATGAAGTAGAAAGAAGTTGGGAGAATAGTAAGGAGGCATTTGTAAGAGTCCATGTGAGAAATCACAATAATTTGAATTACATAGAATAAGAAGAACTTTGGAAAGATGCTCTGAAAACAAGCAATAAGAAGATATTTCTGTAGAGAGGACCTGTGTGGCTTGAAGTCAATTGTGAGAGACAAGATGTTCACTGTACATAAGACGAACAGAGCGGTAAAGAGAGAGACTGGGCCCCTTCCAGCCTATGACTTAAGAGAGCTTCCATAAAGGTCTGCATGGTCTATGCTCATGACTTAAAACTAAGGGCCAGGAAAAGAGAGGAGAGGTAAAGACTCAAACTGAAGCAAAGGGCTCCTTGTTACAGTTTTGTGGGTGCAGTGACTCCCGAGGCAAAGTCCATATATAAGGATACAATGTGTTTGGGGGCATAGCCATTGGACCCTTTAAGTCATATTCTAGGCTACATAGCTTTTATGTCCAAAATGATCTGAGCTCCAGGACAGCTCTCTTATAGGAAACAATGCCAGATGAGGTCACTAGTGAAGGACTTGCTTTACCACAGGGAAATGGTACCATTTCTCTCAGGTCAATTAGGAGCTTTCAAAGAGAAATATAGATAGAGCTCCAATGTTTCAGGGCAGACAAAGTACAGTCAGGTGACATCTGCCATGCTGTGATGTAATACTGGCACTGTTGGTAAGATTATAATATTGACATCGAGAGCCAAATGTATTGTGAAATTCAGTTAAAAGTTTTCTGGCTCCCCCAGATATTAGTCATATAACAAGAATCGCAGTCAAAGAACAAGGGGTGGCTTGTTGCATAGTAATTAATTTGGCTGATCTTTTTCTCTGGGTCCTGAGAGGAGCCCTCTAAACCCTTGAAGTTTCCTATGATACAATTATATTTTGTTACTGATGGCGGGCCTGACAATATCTGAGCTTATGCTGTGGAGATGACACAGGATGGGGCCCATCACACCAGAAAGAACAACTGTGTGATTCAAGGGTTGGGCTTCGAAGCATGTGCTATCAGCCCAGCCTTCTGGGAGGAGAGAGAGGCTAGAGGCTGAGCTCAATAATGTGGCCAAAGATTCAATCCGTCATGTGTCCATAATGAAACCCTGATAAAAACTTTGGCCACGGAAGCTCAGGTGTGCTTTCCTGGGTAGTGATACACATCGATGCGCCAGGAGGGTGACTTGTCCTGAGGAAGCGGAAGTCGTGTGTCTCAGGTCCTCCTAAACCTTACCCTAACGGTTTCTTTCTTTGGCTGGTCCTGATTTACATCCTTTATTATATAACTGTAATTATAACTACAGCTTTTTCCTGAGTAATGTGTTATTCTAGCAAAGTTGTGTATCCAATTTGAGTGGGTAGTGGGAATCTCCAGCTTTGTAGCCAGTTGGTCAGAAGTGTGTGTGTCCTGGAAGCCCCCTCCCCTGCTTGTAGCTGATGTCTGAAATGAGGGAGGCCCTTTTAAGGCCCTGTGCCCTTGACCTGTGAGGTTTGACCTAATTCTGTGTAGATAGCATGACAATTGCACTGCACAGGACAGATAACCACCCCAAAATCTAAAAAGAGAGGTACAAACAGACACTGCAACTGATAAAGCCTAGAGATGTGCTTCAGACAGCAGGAGCCTCTAGAGCTATTGGTCCAAACAATGAAATGACAATTTTAACAAACTGCTGGAGGAAGAGTTTCTTAGGAGGCTCCCTCCAGTAACCTCGCCATATTTTTATGGTAAGAATCCCCAAAAGATCCCTTCATGCCTTTGCAGAAGAAGGAAAGAGTGACCATTGTGAAATGTAACCAGAGCCTTCTCCAGGGGAAGGACTTTACCAGAGCTCCATTCTGATACTGTATCCAAGCTTGGGGAAAGGAATCCCCCCTCACTTCAGCTCTCTTTAGCCTTCTTTCATCACGTAGTGGCAGAAATAATCATCAATGGATAGAGTGCTTCATGGAGATATACTGGGAGCTCGGCAGCCAGGGAAAGGAGCTAGAAGGTGAACATGCTACTGGAGGAAAGGCAGACACAGCTGGGATAGCCACAGCCATGAGCTACTGGCTTAGGAAATGACCCACACTTCATTAGAAGGTTGGAGAATGCTTACTGTCTTCTATATCCTATCATCACTGTTATAAAGCTTGAGTTTAAAAGCAGTGACTACAGCTGTTTTCAGTGGAATGAACTGAAAGACACAGACTCACTATGAGGAGCAGTGCAGAGACAAGCTGTGAAGCCAGGCGAAGAGCCAAAACAAAGACACTAAAGGAATTTGGAACTTCTGATACTTATGGCTGCAACAAACATTAAACATAGCTTAACTCTTAACCAAATTAACATACATTCTCACATAAAGGCCTATGTACCTCAGTTGTTATTACCTAATGCAATATCTGTCTTTTAACAAAAAAATTACACAAGACACGTCAAAGGCAGGAAAAAACAGTCTGAAGAGAAAGCAATCATCAGAATCAAACTCAGATACGACACAGATGTTGGAGTACCAGAGACGGAATGTAAAAATAACTGTGATAAATATGTTAAGGGCTCTCATGAAAAAAGTAGACAATGTGCAAGAACAAATGGATAATATCAGCACTAAGATGGTAGCTTCTAAAAGCCCATGAGCCAAAGAAGAAATCTCAAAAAGTGTTTCAGAATAAATGAAAAGGAAAATATAACTCATCAAAACTTATGGGTTGTAGCTAAAGCAGTGCTTAGAAAATAATTTATAGCACTCAGTTTCTGTATGCATATATTACAAAGTAAGAATTAATAATATAAATAAATTACGCTTGCACCTTAAGAGCTTGAGAAAGAACAGCAATTTAAACCTGAAGAGAACACAGAAAAGAAATCCATGCAAATTAGAATATACATCAATAAAATTTTAAACAGGAAAACAATAGAAAAATTCAACAAAACCAAAAGCTAGGCTTTCACAAACGTAAATAAAATTGATAAACCTCTTCCCAGGCATGAGCGTACAAGATGAGAGAAAGAGAGAATACAAATTACCAATATCAGCAATGAAAGAAGAATCATTACTACTGATTATTGATACCGTGCACTTTTAAAAGATTCTAAGATTCTACAAGCAACTTTATCCTTGTAAATTTGATACCTTAAATAAAGTGGACCAATTCCTTAAAAGACACAAACTAATAAATTCATGCAAGGAAAAACAGACTAGCCCTATACATATTTTCTTTTTTTTTTTTTTTCTGAGATGGAGTCTTGCTCTTTCGCCCAGGCCAGAGTGCAGTGGCGCTACCTCGGCTCACTGCAAGCGTCACCTCCTGGGGTTCACGCCATTCTCCTGCCTCAGCCTCCCAAGTAGCTGGGACTACAGGCGCCTGCCACCGCGCCCGGCTAATTTTTTATATTTTTAGTAGAGACGGGGTTTCACCGTGTTAACCAGGATTGTCTTGATCTCCTGACCTTGTGATCCACCCACCTCGGCCTCCCAAAGTGCTGGGATTACAGGCATGAGCCACCGCGCCCGGCCGCCCTATACATATTTTCTAAAAATTAAATTAATAATAAAAACCTTCCAAAAAAGCAACAGGCTCAAGCTCAGATGATTACACTGGTGAATTATACCAGTGAAAAAATTATTCTCCATATTTTTTTTCCAGAAAAGAGAAGCAGAGGAAAAACCTCCCAACTCATTTTATGATATCATCATTACTCTAATCCCAAAACCAGATAAAGACATTACAACATTGAAAAGAAACTATAGATCAGTATCTCTTATGAACCTAGACACAAAAGCTTCCACCAAACATTAGCAAGTCAAATCCAGTAATGTAGAAAAAGGATAATACATCACAACAAAATGGAGTCCGTTTCTGAATATAAGGATTCAATATTTTAAAATACATCATTGTACTTTATCATATTAATATTAATAGACTAAGAAAAACAACACAATTGTATCAGTAGAAGCAGAAGAAGCATTAAACAGAATTCAAGACCTGTTCATGATAGAAACTCCACAAAGTAATGTGAACTATGGATTTTGAGTGATAATAATGTGTCAGTGTATGTTTATAGTTTATAACAAATGTACCACTCTGGTGTGGGGGGTTGACAGTGGACGGGACTGTGTGTGAGTAGGGTGTATAGGGGGACTTTGTGTGGGTAGGGTGTATATGGGGACTGTGTGTGGGTAGGGTGTATATGGGAACTGCGTGTACTTTCTGCTCAATTTTGCTGTGAACCTAAAACTGCTTTAAAAAAAAAAATAAAGCCAGCCAGCTGCGATGGCTTATGCCTGTAATCTCAGCACTTTGGGAGGCCGAGGTGAGCAGATCGTGAGGTTGGGAGATCGAGACCATCCTGGTTAACATGGTGAAACCCCATCTCTACTAAAAATACAAAAAATTAGCCAGGCGTGGTGGCACTCACCTGTAGTCCCAGCTACTTGGGAGGCTGAGGCAGGAAAATCATTTGAACCGGGGAGGCAGAGGTTGCAGTGAGCTCAGATCACGCCACTGCACTCCAGCCTGGGTGACAGAGCGAGACTCTATCTCAAAATAAATAAATAAACAAATAAATAAATAAAGCCTATTTTATAAAAAAGAAAAATTCAGCCGGGCACGGTGGCTCACGCCTGTAATCCCAGCACTTTTTTGGGAGGCCGAGGTGGGTGGATCATGAGGTCAGGAGATCCAGACCATCCTGACTAACATGAGTGAAAGAATGGAGTGGTATATAATGTAGCAGAGTTGATAATTTAAGGCTAATTCACTATATATCTCCAAGCAAATAGATTTGTAATGCTTTTCCTGCCTAAAATCTGTACAGCTGATTCACAAATACTTGGTTGACAGGTTTTATATATCAGTGTGGCTCATCAGCTTGTATGTTGTTGGGGCCAGAATCTATACTTACACTTCATTCAAATTTGATTTTACAGAAGAGTTGTGGTTTTTATTTTTCTTTTAATTAAGAGGGCTGTGAAATTATCAACTATAACTCTAAATCTCATTTAATTCCTCCCATTAGGATTCAAGATGGATTGGCATCAAAGTTCACTTCTTTAACAAAAGTGCTTTATGACCTTAATAAAATATTAGAGAATGGTAGGATCCATGGAAGCCCTTTACAAAAACTTGTGATAGAAAGTTTTGATGATAAGCAGACTTTGCAACAACTGGAATTGCAAAATGACCCAATTTTACAAAGCTTCCAGAATGCAGTTAGTGAAACAAAGATGAAGATATCAGTATCCCAGAGAGTGAAGAACAGGAGCATGAAGAGGATGGTTCAGAGACAGAGGCTGATGGCCAGGAGGACCTAGAAGATTTAGAGGAGGAGGAGGAAGTGTCAGATATGGGTGGTGACAATCCTGAAGTGAGTGAGAGAGCAAACTCAAGCAAATTCGATCCGACGAAAAGCCCAGTTCTCAGTGATGAGGATTCTGACCTTGACTTTCATATCAACAAATTGGAACAGCAGAGCAAGGTGCGAAACAAAGGACACGGGAAACCAAGAGAAAAGTCCATAGCAGACGAGAAATTCTTCCAACTCTCTGAAATGGAGGCCTATTTAGAAAACAGAAGAAGAAGAGGAACGAAAAGATGGTAATGATGATGACGTAGAAGATACTGATTTTTTTAAGATATTGATTCTGATGAAGATGAAGGGGCACTGTTTAGAAGTAAAAAAACTTAAGGTAAAATTTTGAGAGAGGAGAGAGCACTTTCCTCCTCCTCAAATTACCTTTTGTTCTGTTTTTCTAGGACAGATGTAATTGTAGTTAGAAGATTTGGATCTAAGAAATATTGTGCTCTATCTTATCAGTTATAAATGAATCTGTACTTCCATTCAGTTTCTGTTCCAGTTGTTCTTATAATAGTTTTATGGTAATGTTTTTAGTTGCTGATTTCACCTAATAACTATTTTTGGCTTGTAGTGTTATTAAGTTAGAAAGTAACGTAGACATACAGTATACACACAAATATATATGTGTGTGCTAACGATGTATTTTTCTCTTCCTAATTAATAGTTTTAAAAATCTTTTTATTTTAGTCAGGTAAAAGTTCCAGAAATGTGAAGGACAAAGACTTTTTTTGATCCAGTTGAAAGTGATGAAGACATAGCAAGTGATGATGATGATGATCTGGGTTCAAACAAGCTGATGAAATTGCTGAAGAAGCAGCAGAAGAACTAAGCATTTCTGAAATGTAAGTATTTGAACCATCCTTTATATTGTGAGCTGGAACTGTCCAATCATGTATTGGTACTTGTGGTTTTCACATATGTTTGTTTTAAGAAGTTAGATTCTCTCCTATCAGATATTCTCAAGATAGCCACAGGAAAGTCTGTGTATTTAAAGGGACATTAGAGATCATTTAATGAAGAAAAATATTACTGGCAATGGCAATCAAACCTTTCTGACCAGGAACTTTGATTTGGTTTTGTGCCCCAAAAATCCTGTTATTTCTGTGAGATTGAACAATTTATTTTCTATATATTGGACACTTTTTGTTCTGTTTCTTACATAGCATTTCACTTAAATGATACCTTCTGTTCCTTAATACCTGAATGATTTTGGAACTTCTGAGTATTTGGTTGCATTAGGCATATAAAAGAAGAACTTTATTAAGGGAAATATGTTTCCTTTTGTTTTTCTAATGGAAAGCAGTATATTTCTTTTTATAAGAATTTTGTAGTGTAGGGATGAAGATGATGACCTGGAAGAAAGTGAAGACAGTAAACAATGTAAAGAAAGCTTGAAAAGAGTGACCTTCACTTTGCCAGATGATGAGGCAATTGAAGATGCAGGTGTTTCACATGTAAAGAAAAATTCTGATGAAGTTAAATCCTCTTTTAAAAAAAGACAGGAAAAGGTAATTAGGAATTTAAGGAATTTTTAATATGCTTGACATGATTGTGGAACTCACAGACTACTAACAAATCTTCCCTATTTTTCTTTTTTTTTTCTTGAGATAGAGTCTTGCTCTGTCACCCAGGCTGGAGTGCAATGGCATGATCTCAGCTCACTGCAGCCTCCACCTCCCAGGTTCAAGTGATTCTGCCTCAGCCTCCTGAGTAGCTGAGATTAGAGGTGCATGACACCATGCCTGGCTAATTTTTGTATTTTTAGAAGACATGGGGTTTCACCGTGTTGGGCAGGCTGGTCTCGAACTCCTGACCTCAGGTGATCCTCCTGCCTCAGCCTCCCAAAGTGCTGAGGTTACAGGCATGAGCCACTGTGCCCCAGCCTTCCTATTTTTCTTGTTGTAACTATTAACCATCCTTTGCAAACAAATATCTTGGCCAGGTGCAGTGGCTTATGCCTGTAATCCTAAAACTTTGGTTGTCTGATGCAGGAGGATCGCTTGAGCTCAGGAGTTCAAGATCAGCCTGGGTGACATAGTGAGATCTTGTCTCTTCAAAAAATACAAAAATTAGTGGGGGCATAGTGGTGTATGCCTGTAGTCCAGCTACTCAGGTGGCTGAGGCAGGAGGATCACTTGAGCCCAGGAGGTTGATGTTGCAGTGAGCTATGATCACATCACTGCTCTCCAGCTTGGGCGGTGGAGCAAGATCCTGTCTTCAAACAAACAAACAAAACCAAAAATCTTGCTGCCACTCTCTAAAGCAAAAGCACACTATATGGAGATGCCATATGGAAAGCATCTGATTTGCAAAAATCAGTGCCTGCATTACCCAGCCTATAGCTTTCAATTTGGGGCCTGTGTGTAAAATGGTTGTTTCTTTTCTGTCTCCCTTATGTCTTTATATGCATAGCATGTCTCTTCTGACAAAGCTGTCCCGACAGCCTCTTCTTGTAACTGTTTTGACTGCTCCGGAGGATGCCGCCTATGTCTTTAAGGTGCTCCACAGATTTTGGTGAGTGCCAAATAGCCGTAATTTTAATTAATACCATGACAAAGATATCTTCCAAAGTATGTCATGATTTCAGACAAGTGAAATTTCATTTAATTTTAGTAGATGTAGTCTGGCTCCAATAATTGGGCTATATTATTTATCCAATCTTAAAATTTTATTATAAAAATGAGAATAGTGCCAGGTACAGTAGCTCACACTTGTAATCCCAGCACTTTGGGAGGCTCAGAAGGGAGGATTGCTTGAGCCCAGGAGTTCGAGACCAGCCTGGGCAACATGTTGAAACCCCATCTCCACTAAAAATATAAAAAATTAGCTGGGTGTGGTAGCGTGAGCCTATAGTCTCTGCTACTCAAGAGGCTGATCGGGGATGATCGCTTGAGTCCAGGAGTTCAAGGCTGCAGTGAGCTATGATTGGACTATGGCACTCCAGCCTGGGCAACAGAGCTGCAGAATAGGTAAATAAATGATACCAAGAATATCAAAAGAATTATTTTTAAAATCTGTGAATCTAAATTAAATTCATCATTGTCAGATTGTCCCCAGAAGATAAATTCTAAAGGGAAAAAACAAAACATAAAATATCAACGAGTTAATGTCCTCCTGTCCCGCTCCTCCCACCCTCCCCCAACAAGAAAGAAAAAAAGGTTTGGTTTTGCTTTGAAATTATATCAGACCTTCAAGTAAAATTTTCAATAAATCACAAATAATTTATTGAAATTTCCACATATAAAGAATAAAGTAGAACTTTCAAACTTTTTTCTTTTGAAACTGTTCGAACATGAAAACCCAAACCTGACAAAGGTACCTGACAAAGGTAACATTAAAACACACACACTCTCTCATTCATGGCTAGTGATGCAAACATAGCACAGTGGGAAAATTATGCCGCACAATCACATGAAGCTCATTCCCTTGAATCACTACTGGAAGATCTGGTATGATTCCTGGTTGCAAGACATTAAGAAGAAAATACATGGTTCCCTCCATATATGTTAGAAAGACATTTGATAAAATTCAATATTTATTTCTAATTTTTTTTACTCCTAGTGGATTATTAATACATCTAGCCAAAAGCTGCCATCATGCATGATGAGTGAAACTGTAGAAACATCCCTTTAAGATCAGGAATAAGACAAAATGTCCAGTATTGCAGTTATCCCTGTTAATTAACACTAACAGTTAATAACCACATAAGCCAGTGCAACTACAAAAGATAAAGAGAAGGGATTAGGAAAACTGCCAGGAGCAGTGGTTCTCACCTGCAATCCCAGCACTTTGGGAGCTCAGGAGCTCCCAGCACTTGAGCTCAGGAGTTTGAGACCAGCGTGGGCAACGTAGTGAGACCTCATCTCTGCAAAAAATACAAAATTAGCTGGGTGTGGTTACATGCACCTGTGGTCCCAGCTACTTGGGAGACTGAGGTAAAAGGACTGCTTGAGCCTGGGAGTCGGAGGTTGCAATGAGCTGAGATCATGCAACTGTACTCCAGAGCAAGACTCTGTCTCAAAAAAAAAAAAAAAAAAAAAAGATTAGGGATACTAAAACGAAAACATTAGTGTTTGGAGAGAAAACCGAATGGATAAATGGAATCGATATTAGGAAAATAAGAGAATTCTGTAAGGTAGCTGAAAAAGCTGACATTTTATACATTGAAGTCATAATTGTTCATAACTTTTAGAAGTTAGAGATAATAAGAATTTGAGTTTAGAGTCAAAAGGGTCAGGCTCCATCAAATACTAATATCCTAATCAAAGAATTACTTGGCCAGGTGCGGCGGCTCATGCCTGTAATCCCAGCACTTTGGGAGGCCGAGGCAGACACATCACGAGGTCAGGAGATCGAGACCATCCTGGCTAACACGGTGAAACCCCGTCTCTTCTGAAAATAGAAAAAATTAGCCGGGCGAGGTGGCGGGTGCCTGTAGTCCCAGCTACTCGGGAGGCTGAGGCAGGAGAATGGTGTGAACCCGGGAGGTGGAGCTTTCAGTGAGCCGAAATCACGCCACTGCACTCCAGCCTGGGCAACAGAGCGAGAGACTTTGTCTCGAAAAGAAAAAAAAGAATTATTTAACTTAACTTTAGGGTGCTCTAATAATCAAAATTGATAGTGGCTTGTGAACAGATAGATCACTTGAATAGAATAGAGCCCAGAAATAAACCCAAATGCTTCTGGGGGAGTTTAGTATATTATAAACATGGCATTTCAAATCAATGAGGAAAAGAAATCATTTGCAGCTCACCCCACCATAGGCAGCAGGAATAGGAAGTCATTGGCACAATAAAAAGATGGTAAGGACAGAATTGTAGAACAGTACATTTCTTGCTTCCCCACTTTTCAAAGTATTTTTTGCTTTTACACAAGTATAAGTGTAATTTGATTTTCTCAATGTATACTAATTCTTTTGTCTCTTTCTTAGATGAATGAAAAAAATTACACCTTTAGAAAAAGAGTTGTTAGAAAAAAGCCTTGGTTGCGTCTGGGGGAAGTGACAGCACAGAAGAGACCAGAGAATAGCCTGCTGGAGGAGACCCTGCACTTTGACCATGCTGTCCGGATGGGTACGGTGCCCTCTTCTGCAAAGTTTTTCTATGGTTCCATTTTGTAGGAAGATTTGGGGTGATGTTTCTTTTCCCTCAACTTTTTATTTTAAAAACTTGCAAACACAGAAAAGTTGATAAAATAATACAGTGAACATCAGTATGCTATTCAACTGGATTCACCAATTAACATTTTATCATATTTGTTTTGTCTCCCCTGCATATGGAAGATTGTATATGTGCCCTTTTCCCCCCTGAATCATTTCAAAGTAAGTTGCCAGTATCAGCATTTCAGTGTTAAGTACTTTCGCAGATATCTTCTAGGAACCAGGACGTTCTCCTATATAATCACAATACCATTAATCCCACCCCAAAAATTTAACATCAATACACTAATGATACCTACTGTATAGATTATAATCAGCTTTCTTGCAGTAATCTGTTTAGAAGGCTTGCACCCTGTCACCATCCACTGATTAAATTTTGAACTCTAACTTGAAACCCTGCTCATCTCATTGCCTTCTTTCTTATACCCATTAAGTCAAAAAGAGCTCTCATTTTATTTCAACGGAAAAGAGAATGGAAAAGAGGGGAAGGTACCTGGGATAAAGTATGAGCACTTACTGCCATATGTATTCTAGTTGTGTAGTTTTCAAACTTCAGGGAGCATCTCAAGGCTTATTAAAGGACAGACAGCTGTCCCTCTTCCCCACTTTCTGATTCAGGAGGTGTGGGGCTGGCCCAGGAATTTGCATGTCTAACAAGTTCCCACGTGTTGCTGATGCTGAGGGTCTAAGGACTACAATGGGAGAATCCGTGGTTTAGTGGATATCCACCTAAAGAATACTTGTTGTATTTCCTTTAGTGCCTGTGATTACAGAGGAAATACCTTTCAACTGGAAGATATCATTAAACACAGGAAAAGAGATCAGGTCAGTAAGAATTAAATTTAACTTAATTGAAATGTCACTGAAATTTTTAGAAATAATATGACAGGCCAGGCACAGTGGCTCATGCCTGTAATCCCAGCACTTTGGGAGGCCAAGGCGGACAGATCTCTTGAGGTCAAGAGTTTGAGACCAGGCTGTCCAAGATGGTAAACCCCGCTCTCTACTAAAAATACAAAAATTAGCTGGGCATGGTAGTGCATGCCTGTAGTCCCAGCTACTTGGGAGGCTGAGGCAGGGGAATTGCTTGAACTCGGGAGATGGAGGTTGCAGTGAGCTGAGATGCGCCACTGCACTCTGAGACTCTATCTCAAAATAAATAAATAAATAAATAAATAAATAAATAAATAAAAATAAAAAATAAAGGGAAGATGGGGCAGCTTTGTGTAGTGCACTTCCCGAAAATGGGCTGATTTCCCTCAAGAGGCAGGGATTGAAGCTCTCTAGCCTACATGGGATACATACAGGAGAAAAAAGAAGAAAAAGAAAAGAAATGTAAACATAAATAAATGAAAATAACACTTCTCCCTGATTATAAAGGAAATCACATTCTTTTTGTAATAATTTGGATGACAAAATATAAAGAAAAATCTTTAATTTTGCCACTCAAAACATTCTGGTTTGTTGCTTTTTACACTTTTTATGCATATAAACATATTTAAAAGTAGAATCTGCCATGTTGAGACTGTGAGGTTGAAGCCTTCGGGAAAGAACATCAAGATGAATGGAGTCTGAGTTCCTGACAACATGGAGCATCATGCCAGCCATGAACCACTTCTGAGACATCCCTATGAGACAAAAATAAACTTCCATGTTCTTTAATTTATCATTTTGGAGGGTTTTCTGTTATTGCCGCAAAACCTAATCTTAACTAATACAGACATTGTATCTGAAATTCCCAGGAAAATCCCTGTAAACGTGTTGCTTGCCACGAATAACTGGCCTCTACCAGTATCACATTCCAGATGAGCAGAACAGGGAAAGGATTGGAAGACAAGAGAGGGGAGGAACACACCTCGCTCTCTCCTGCTATTGGCTGTGCCTGGCTGCAAGCTAGAAATGCTGGGTCCATTGCAAATGGCCACACATCTAAGGCCCTACCACCATGGGAACAGCCACTGGGAGATAACTAGCAGCTTTTACCATTTGTCATTTAATTATTTTAAAGTTAGAAACTTTTTCTTTTTGAATGTCTGAAAGAGAATGGCCTGAGAAATATTTTGGAAAAGTTAAATAAAGCTGATTTGTGACTGTTAAAAAAAATAAAAGTACAATCATAGTAAATGGGCTTTTGTCACTTATTATATTTTAAACATGTTTCTAGGGCAGAAGTATATCCTGGCATCATCATTTTTAATAGCTGGATTATGTTAAGTGAATCATTGCCACCCCAGAGGTGAATTTCCTCTATATACATTTTAATGGACTCCAGTAAGGATTTTTGCACTGAATTCATAGAAGTAGAATTTCTAGAGGAAAATAATGTAAAACTGTTTTAGGATTTTTAAAAGAAATGTTCAAATTATCCTGTAGGAAAATTGGTTCAGTTTATGCTCCCACCAACAGGGACAGAGCTCCAGGTTCCCCCTTCCATTTGTCATCTTTGCTGGTCTTTAAGCAGAAAATCTCATTGTTTTCATTACATTTCTTTGATTTCTAGTGCTTTTGAATCTTTTTCGTTTGCTCATTGGCCATTTTTATTCTTGTGGGAAGTGCCGGTTTCTCCATTGCCCATTTTCTGCTGGAAATCATTCATTTTTTTAATGAGTAATTTTAAATTTTTCTTTTTAGGCTAAGGATAAGTCAGGATCAGTCAGTTCAAGACTAGACTGATCAACATGGAGAAACCCCGTCTCTACTAAAAAGACAAAATTAGCTGGGTGTGGTGGCACATGCCTATAATCCCAGCTACTCAGGACTCTGAGGCAGGAGAATTGCTTGAATCCAGGAGGTGGAGGTTGTGGTGAGCCGAGATTGCACCATTGCACTCCAGCCAGGGCAACAAGAGCCAAACTCTGCAAGAAAGAAAAAGCAAGAAAGCAAGAAAAGCAAGAAAGCAAGAAAGCAAGGGAAGCACGGGAAGCAAGGGAGAAAGGAAATAAAGGGAAGAAAGAAAGAAGGAAGAAGGAAGGAAAGAAAGAAAGAAAGAAAGAAAGAAGAAAGAAAGAAAGAGAAAACAAAGAAAAAACAAATGAGACCATGGGCTTGGAAATGCCTTGAGAACATGTCAGGTGTGATTGAGAGTGAGGGAGTGTTACTGTGGAGTATCAGTGTAGCTGTTGTTCTGGTCGTCCAGCTACTCCTCTGCCTGCTCTATCCTGACTTAACCTTTCTCTATTTGCAGTACATCGAGAAATTAACAAAGGAGAGGGACGCTCCGAGTCTGGAACTGTACAGGAACACGTAGGATGGGGGAAGGTGGAATGGGAGGTCTGGGGGCCCTTAGAGTGGGTGGTGTGCTGGGAGGTGGGGGGTACAGGTGAGCATGGTGAGAGGCTTCTACAGGTTTTCATGTGTGCACAGGGAAGCTCTAGTGCCGGCGGTGCCACTGACTCATGGGGAAGCCTCAGGCAACTCATGTCTTCTCTCTGGCCTGCCACCTGTGACTTTTAATTCCTGGGGTCCTTTCCAATGCCACCGTTCTGTGGTTGTGTGGTGAAAGTAGAGGGTTGATCACCAAAGCGGTCCTTTCTATTCTTCGTTCATTCCTTTCTCTACTGCCTCTGGCCACAGCATAACCGATGAGGAGTTGAAGGAGAAAAATGCCGAACTACAAGAAAAACTTCGACTTGTAGAATCTGAAAAGTCTGAGATCCAGCTCAACGTAAAGGACCTTAAAAGGAAGCTGGAAAGGGCCCAGCTCCTGCTGCCACAGGCGAGCAGCTGCAGCCCCGGGGGTTGTGGGAGCCCCATCCGGCTGGGGCCATGGTCTAGGGATCATGTAGGGTGTGGGGAGGCTCCAGCCAAGAGCTGGAAAATTTGGGTCCTTGTTCTGGTCCCACCATAGAATCCTCTGGAGTGTGCTAAAAATATACAAATTGGGGCCCTGCCTGGGGAATCAGAATCTCAGAGTTTGGGCTTAAAAAAATATTTTTCAAAGGATCATAGATGAAAACCATTATTTTATAGATTACATTTATATGGCTAGCTCATGAGTCTGTTTCCTTCTGAGGTTTGAACCAACACTTTCACTATTCCAGCAGCAGCTGCAGGTGGAGGCTGACCGCCTGGGTAAGGAGCTACAGAGTGTGTCAGCAAAGCTCCAAGCCCAGGTGGAAGAGAACGAGTTGTGGAACCTCCTGAACCAGCAACAAGAGGAGAAGATGTGGAGGCAGGAGGAGAAGATACAGGAGCAGGAAGAGAAGATGTGTGAGCAGGAGCTGAAGATAAGGGAGCAGGAGGAGAAGATGTGGAGGCAGGAGGAGAAGATGCATGAGCAGGAAGAGAAGATACGGGAGCAGGAGGACAAGATGTGGAGGCAGGAGGAGAAGATACGGGAGCAGGAAGAGAAGATACGGGAGCAGGAGGAGAAGATGTGGAGGCAGGAGGAGAAGATACGGGAGCAGGATGAGAAGATACAGGAGCAGGAGGAGGAGATGTGGAGGCAGGAGGAGAAGATACGGGAGCAGGAGGAGAAGAGGCAGGAGAAGATGTGGAGGCAGGAGAAGAAGATGCGCGAGCAGGATGAGAAGATACGGGAGCAGGAGGAGGAGATGTGGAGGCAGGAGGAGAAGATACGGGAGCTGGAGGAGATGATGCAAGATCAGGAGGAGAAGCTGCGGGAGGTGGAGGAGAAAATGCAGGAGGAGGAGGAAAAGATGCAGGAGCAGGAGGAGAAGATACAGAGGCAGGAGGAGAAGATCCAGGAGCAGGAGGAGAAGACGTGGAGGCAGGAGAAGCTGCTCAAGCAGGAAGAGAAGATATGGGAGCAGGAGGAGAAGATGTGGAGGCAGGAGGAGAAGATGTGGGAACAGGAGGAGAAGATGCAGGAACAGGAGGAGAAGATGCAGAGGCAGGAGGAGAAGATGCGGGAGCAGGAAGTGAGGCTGTGGCAGCAGGAGGAGAAGATGCAGGAACAGGAGGTGAGGCTGCAGGAGCTGGAGGAGAGGCTGGGGAAGCTGGGGCAGAAGGCGGAGCTCTTGGGGGGAGCAGGCAGAGGTGTGTGCAAACCCTGGAGATCATACAGAACGACCTCACCACAACTTAGCAGATGGTGGTTGGCTCCCTCTGCTTTTCCACCAGTCTGCGGCCTACAGTTTAAATGGTGGGAAGAAGGGTGTGAGATTTGAGGCTGGGGAGGGAGGCATGGGCCTCTAGGCAAGGGAGGCAGTCACTTAGGCCTGGAGGAAGGGGCCAGGGCCAGGGGCCTGAGCAGGCGACAGAGCCCCGCAGTGCCCTTGCCACCCTGTTTATGGGCCCAGAATCTGGAAGCCAGCGACTACCTACCCTGACGCCTATCCTGCAGGTGGAGCTGAAGAGCCAAGAGGCTCAGAGTCTGCAGCAGCAGCAAGACCACTACCGGGGTCACCTGCAGCAGTACGTGGCCGCCTATCAGCAGCTGGCCTCTGGGAAGGAGGCACTGCCCAGCTGCAGCAGCAGGAAGCTCAGGGCGAAGCGGTGGCTGAGATGGCCCACCAATAGTTGCAGGAGACCCAGCTGAGGGAGTTGATGAGGGTGGGGCCCTGAGGGGGACGACCTGGCAAACTCGGTGCCTTCTCACTCTCTTTCCTGGCCCCTTAGGAGCACCTGGAAGCTGCCATCTACCAAGCAGATGACAAGAACACAAATATAATAAACATGTAAAAGCCGGCAGCAAGGCCTGGAGAAGAGTAAGCTGCCATGTGACTGTTTAGAATAGAGTCTGAGCACAAACCTGAAAAAAAAAAAAAGAAAATTTATTTATTTTAAATTTTGGCAAAATACTGGCCAGGCACGGTGGCTCATGCCTGTAATCCCAGCAATTTGGGAGGCTGAGGTGAATGGATGACCTGAGGTCAGGAGTTCAAGGCCAGCCTGGCCAATACAAAAATTAGCCGGGCATGGTGGCACATGCCTGTAATCCCAACTACTTGGGAGGCTGAGGCAGGAGAATCGCTTGAACCTGGGAGGCAGAGGTTGCAGTGAGCTGAGATCGTGCCACTGCACTCAAGCCTGGGTGACAGAGTGAGACTCTGTCTCAAAAAAAAAAAAAAAGTTTCTTCCTTACATGTATGTTTCTATTAGTTTTTTTCTTGGTCTTTCTCATTTAGTCTGATGTTGTCTTATGGCATTCCTAGTAAAGTTTTATCTGCCTCCAGAGAGTATTGACTTTGACTTTATGGCACACAATTGGAGTAAGGGCAGATCGCCTTCATCTAGTTTGTGACTAAGCTAGTTCAAAGCAGGTTTTAGGTTTTGTGACGGCTGGTCTATATTTTATTCATTTGGACTCCTAGGGGTGGCCCTTCCAGGGTCCCCACCAATGTCCCATCTCCTTCCTGGGACCCAAATTCTCATTAGGTCATTTCAGCCCTGTGAGAGTGCCAACATTCAGCTAGGCTCTCCAGCCCCTTAACTACCACTTCATATTCAGTTTCTTAGCCTCTTAGCCCTCTACTGTTGACCGATCACCAAATGTGGGAAAAGCACTACAGACTGTCAGGATCACCTCCCAGGCCTGGTCACTCAAGTGCTGGCTGAGGTCTCCAATTACCTTCCAACAATTGTTTTTGGTGGTGGGGCACATTTTTGTCCAGTTTTTCTAACTGTTCCTATGGGGAGGCGAATCTGTAACAAGCTCCTCTGCCTTTAGTGAAAGTTGAAAACCTTCATCTGTCTCTCTCTCTTTTTTTTTTTTTTTTTTGAGATGGAGTCTTGGTCTGTTGCCCAGGCTCTAGTGCAGTGGCATGATCTCTGCTCACTGTAACCTCTGCCTCCTGGGTTCAAGCAATTCTCCTGCCTCAGCTTCCCGAGTAGCTGGGATTACAGGCGTGTGCCACCATGCCTGGCTAATTTTTATTTTTTAAATAGAGACAGGATTTCACCACATTTTCCAGGCTGGTCTCGAGCTCCTGACTCAGGTGAGCTACCTGCCTCAGCCTCCCAAAGTGCTGGGATTACAGACGTGAGCCATTGCATCCGGCCCATCTGTCTTTTAAGAAATGTATTTAATTTGAGGTATAGTTTATATTCAGTGAAATGCACAGATCTGGTTTCCATTTTGATCAGTTTCAACAAATGCATTACCCATGTAACCCACCTCCTTTGAAGATATAGAGTATTTCTATCATCCAGAAAGTTCTCCTACGCTTTCATCCTGTCTGGCACTCCCCAGCAGCTGAAGAACGTGCTGAGGACATTGGTACAGGATTCTGGCCTCCCCAGAAGAGCTGCTTTGACAAGCCTTCTTGCCTTACCCAGCACTAAATCCCTGCCTACTCTCTCAAAATTTCCATCTTTTAACTGGTTGTACGTATAACCCTCCCTCATCAAGTCAATAGATAAACAAACCCTGAAAAATAAACACCCCTTCCTGGCCCAGCAGCCCACAGCCTAATATTTACTGTCTTCCCGGGCTTTCAGAAATGCAACTCGCCTGCCGGTTCACCCTAACTAGGGCGGCAGCTGCACGGGAGCTGCTGGGCTCACCCGTTAAGCAAGAAGCCAATAGCTGGACAGTGACACTCAGACCCCAGCCTGGGTGAGCCTGGTTGAAAGCCCCCTTCTTTCCCGTCCGACTGTGGAGAAAGGGGGCGGAGCACACACAACTCTACTGCCCTCCGCATCCTTCAGCTGTGCTTCCTCCTGGGAGAGGGAGCTACTCATTAATTCGGCCAAAACCTTCTTGAGGGCTGTAGGTTTCACAGGCTGGGTGTGTGGGGGCCACCATGCTAGAGAGAGAGGCTGGTGTGTCAGAAGGCAGCCACCTGGCCAGGGGAGGGTCAACCTGCTTGGTGACCTCCTTCCCCCGGCTGGACACAGCGCCCTGCACTCTCTACATGTGACTGTTCCCCTCAGAGCTGCTTCCAGAGGAGAGGTTCTAACCCTGTGGGTGGGGACATTGTGTTACTTTACAGTGGGCCATGGCTCCCTCTGACATCTCCAACTCAGAGGCAGTAGAGAGAAGATGAGAAACTCCATGCACCTCCTCGCTCAGCACCCCCACCTCTGCACACGTCCACATATGGAGACCCTGACGATGGGCCCTGGGAGTGCCGCCATCTGCGCCTCCTTTCCATGCCTGCAGCAGCCATGCCCACTCTCCAGACCCTCACCCGCCTGGGTCAGTAGACGCTTCACTGCCTGTGGTCCTGCCCCTACACCTGGGCCTCTGTACCCATCGGTTCTCGCAGTCTGGTTCTTATTCCTCGCAAAGAGTAGGGAGCCTGTAAGGTCACCTGTTGAGCAAGCTGGGGGAGAGAGTAGGGTGGGGCTGGGAGGATGAGGAGGAGAAGCTCATGGTCGTGCTGGAGACTCAGCTGAGCAGAGTCTCTGCAGGCCCATTGGCTGCCTAGCCAGTGGTGATCCTGCTCCCACCCTCATTTCTTCTTTGTTAACAAAACCATGACCTCATTAAATATTGGACACCTATAAACCTCATGGACCCTCCTCCAGCCTCCCCGCCATGTATTGGTGAGTCTAAGTCAACTCTAGTCATTTCATTCCTCTGGACATTGATTGCTTTGGGCTTGGGCATGAGCTGCCTCTTCGCCTGAGCCTGAGCCACAGGTGCCCTCTGCACCTACCACACTGATGCACTGGGCCAGGGAGAGCTCCATCTCGATGGAGATGAGCTGTGAGGAGCTGGTGGCTGGGCGGATCAGGTTGTTGTAACAGGTTTTGTTCAGAAGGTCGTCCATCAGCTTCTGCTCGGCAGGGCCATGCGGCAGAACCCTGCGTAAACACACAGACCTGCTTGGTCCTTGTGCAGCTGTCTCCCACTGCAGCTGACAGCTATGAAGCAGGAGCTGAGAGGGCCAGGGAGCACAGACACCCTGAGAGCTGGCTGAAGCAGTGAAGGGGCTGGCCGGCCTGGCTCTCCCTGGGGACTTCAAATGACATTCATGACAGAGCTCAGCTACCTCCTCCCATGCCATACCTCTTCCTCCTCCTCCTCCCTCAATCAATGAACAGCATCCCACGCTCTACACATCTGATACAAAACTGGGTGTCTCTTCCTGACCCCTCCCTTGGTTCACCCAAGTGGCCACCAAGTCCTGTCTGTCCTCCCATCTCCACGGCTACAGCCATGTCCCTGCCTCCCCCGCCCTGCCCACCTTCTGTTCTCTCCACCTGCACCCTGCCCCTGCCATCCATGTGCCATACAGTGGCAGACTGGTCTTTCTACAGCAAACTGGACTTGGGCCCTTCCCTACCCACAGCTCTCAGAGCTGGAGGTGGAGTTGAAACTCATGTTTTGGCTTGGCATTCAGAGCTCTTTCCCCCTCAGCTCTGGCTTATCCAGAGTGCTCACAGTGCAGGGCAGGAGCCCCATCACTCAAGTGTGGGTTTGGTGCAGAACTGGGTCAGAGGTGGTGCTTTCCCTATGAAGAGACAGGGCTGAGATGGGATATTCGGGGTTCAGAGTCAGATCTATGGAGTGCAAGGTTTCTCTGAGGCACCAAATGGAGGGGTCCAGCTAGCAGCTGGCTCCTGGTCTGGAGCTTCAAGGAGAGGTCTCAGCTCAGAGCCACATTCAATAGCCAGCTTACATGCGGCCTCCTGCAGGGAGCCCCTGGAGCTTCCACAGCCTCCGATCTGCCCCTCTGCATACCCCAGATCTCCTGCTAAGTGGCGTTTGGGTCTTCATGTCATCTCCCTCCCATGTCTGGGAGTAAAGGTGAGGTGCAGGGACTTGCGCTTGTGTACTCTGGTGTCTTAAGGGAGAGTGTGTCAAGTAGAGTGGAGGCAGCTTGGAAAGAGGGAGACTCAGAGGAGAGTGAAGGACACATGACCAGGCGAGCCTGGGAGCAGGAAAAGAGTGAGCAGAGGAAACTGCTGGGTCAGGGGAGTGGATGGGAGGATCAGGGAATGCGGGGGGCTGGAGAGGTGGGTGTGGGGATGCTGGCAAGGGGCTGCCTGGCTCGCCAGGCTCAGGAGTTTTTACATCCTCCCACAATGGCCAGCTCACCTGGTCGCTCCAAAGCCCTCCCTCTGTGGGTGGGACCAGAGGGCCCAGAGCACGGATGACCCAGTTGAGCAGGACTGAGGTGGACTCAGGTGGGTGCTGGGCTGGACTCCTGGCCGTAGGGAGCAGCTGCCACCCTGCCTACTGCATCCACATTCCAACTCGCTGCCTATCTGAGCAGATGCAATATTGGGCACCTTGTGGAACATGCTCCTGGTGCACCTGCTGCCTCCTGCCCTTCCTGCAGAGTGCCCGGGCTCTCCAGAGGGGATTCCTGTGGAGGCTTGGCCTAGATTCTGAGTCCTGCCTCTCATACCCGGGGCTGCTACCCAAGAGGCCAGCTGCTTGAGTACCCTGGAAGCCAGTCTGTAGCCCCAGGCTACAGCTGGGTGCATCCCACAGCCCTTCTTTAGTTTACCTATTTGGACTGAGTGCTCATTTCATAGAGAGGGGTGTGTCTTTCCCCAGCCCATCTGGCATGTCTAAGGCAGCTGTGGGGTCAGAATCTGCAGCTCCCAGCCCCTAGCCCTGCAATAGTAGGAGAGGCTGGACCCCACATCTCTGAAGTCCCACTGGGCTGGTGCAAGTGGGCTCCCAAGTTCAGAGCTGCTGTGCAGGCTGTGGGGCTCATGCACCTGTTCTGAACCCACCTGATGTGCTCAGGTTACTCACCTTTGGGCCTGTCCTGCCTCTCTGGCATTCGGCTGACCCTGAGGGCCTCTCCCTCATCTTGACCACCAGCTATGGGCTCTGACTTAGGGGTTCCCAGAACCTTAGACCATTTGGCCGACCCCCCATTTCTCAGCTAAGGAAACAGGCCAAAAAGGGGAAGCAGCTTTCTCAAGGACCCCCAGCAAGTCAGAGGCAGAACCAGGTCTAGGAACCTCTTTTTGACAGAGGTTCTCCCTGTCCCCTGAGCCTTCTTTAGTGCCTCATTAACTTCCCTGTAAGGAGACTGCCCCGCTGAGGCTGGAAATGGTGCTGTCCAGGGTGGTGTGTGCCCGTGACTGTGCTTGTGTTTGTACTTGTGAGTGTGTATGGGGGTGGGGATGAGGGGTGGGAATAAACGGCAGGGATGCTGGGGGCTGGAATACACTCTGCCTCACCCCAAAAAGGGGCACAGCAGAGCCCAGCCAAGCACAGCACATGCTTCGACTTTCCAGTCCGCTGAATGAGTGTGAGGCCGGCTGGGCCCAGAAGACAAGGGACAGGCCTTTCCCCACAGACGGCAGGGGGGCCCAGGATGGGTGGAAGATTTTGCCACAGCTTTGGGGATCCCATCCCAGCCCATGGGCTGACTGTTAAGCAGAAAAGCCACCTCTAGGGGTCAGTCATGATCTAGTGATTCTGATGAGGAGGGGGCCCCACCAGCCTCTGTCCAGGGTCTTGTCTGGGAAAAACTGCTCCCTGGCAGAAACGGGCTAATAATTTGAGAGGAAGCCATAGCTGAAATCCTAAACTGTGTGAGTGTGTGTCCAGTTTGAAAAAGCATATTTGACCTAAACATTTATATTGAAAAAATGGAAAGATATTCCCCTTGTTTTGGAATACAAACTACAGAAAGTAACAGTTAACAGAATCCTATTGGAAAGGTCAGATTCTGCATCTGGAAAGGCACAGTGATTTTCAACTGGGGTGTGTGTCCTTAACTGAGGAAGGGAAGGTGAGATTTATGTTTAGTAAAAGGCAGCTATGAATTTACCTTTTATAAAGAGCTTGCCATATACTATTAGTGCTTTTTCAATCATGTCAGAATCTGCCGGATGCCTGTGGAAATGCAAATTCCCAGGCTTCATTCCCAGAGATTCTGGTCCTGTGAGCCTAGGGTGGGGCCCAGCAAACTCTATGGGGTGGTGCAGGCTGCCCCAGGACCACACCAAGAAACACTGCAACTGGCCCCCACACACATCCCAGTCCCCAAATATGTAGGCAGGCATCTTATCTCCATGGAACAGATAGGGAAACTGAGGTCAGAGTGGGGAAAGAAATGTCATGGGGTCACCCAGGAAGTAGTAGCATAGCCACGATACACCCACTGCCTGCAGACACCATCTCTGATGGCAGCTCCACCTCCCTACAGGAACCTTGCCTACCCCCACCCCTACCTCCTGTTGCCCCTATGCTGGGTCTCTGTCCAAGGAAGATGTAGCCCTGGTCCTCTAGGCTGACTGGGGCTTGGCCCAGAGTGTGGGAGTTAGAAGGGTCCTTGGAATTCAGGTGGGGAAACTGAGGCCCAAAGAAGGCAGCCCTCACATTTGAACTCTGTCTGGAGAAGGGCTAGGTCTTCTTCCTGAGTGGTAGTTTTGACTTCACCAGCCTGGCCCTCAGTCAAGCTGGCTGTCCAGGCCCGCCACACCTCGGGGTGGGTGACCAGAGGCGGTGGTGCCATAAAACACGTTTCCTGGGAGATCCACGCCCATAGCTCAAAACATTCCAGGTCTGGTGATTTGGGCAAGCCCCCTTCCCTCTCAGCCTTGTTTCCCCGTCTCTACAATAGCTGTGTTGCAGGAGACGTCTGTCTCGGACTGAGCTGCAGATTTTCTCCTGGCTGCCTTCACCGTCCAGGATGCTGGCTCCTCTGTGTCCACTCTTCAAGACAGTCACCTCTTAGGTGAGGAAGGAGCCTCGGCCCTCTCGGGAGTGGGAGCCGGTGCACCCCCAGCCTCCCAGGCCGCTGGGGATGACTTAGGCTGCCTGCAAAGCCAGTGCCATTCGGCGCCGCTTCCCAGGCTCAGACGACCTCCAGGGAAGGAGGCCCTGGCCCTCACAGCAGCTCTGAGAAGAGGTGGCCCCCACTCCAAACCTCGCCGAGCCACCCACACATTCCCTCAGCCCAAAGAGGCTTTTAGGAAAATGAATCATCTCAAGTTCATACCCATGGGGTTGCTGAAAGAAAGGACAGTGCAGGGTGAGCTGGCATGAGGGAGTGCTGCTCTCTGCAGACTTTGCTGGGATGGCTCTTAGGAAAAGGGCCTGGAATCTGGGATGGTGACTAGCTCAGGGTTAAAGGGAGGGGATGGAGCTGGAGTGAGCTGGCCTCATCGTCCCCCTTGGGCCTTCCAGCCTGGGCTCAGGTGATTCAAGGGAGCAAGCACCTCCTTCTCCTGGCCAGGGAGTTCTCGCCACGTTCTGGAATCAGTACCATTCCCTTGGGGGCTGGGGGACAGCAACCACCTCCGGACCTGGCTGGAACTGCTGCAATTCTGGATCCAAATGGCCCCTGGCAGCTTCTCCATCTCCCTCTCAGTCCAGCCCCCACCCCTCCCCCATGAGGGCCCCAACAGCAAATCTGACAACTGGAGGAACAAGGCAGGAAGGGCAGAATCTGAGGGAGTGACCACCTTCAAAAGGCAGCTCTGTCACCTTCTCTCCAGGACTCTGAGGCTTGCTTTCATATTGCTTCCTCGACATCCTTTTGCTATAATCTGGCATGTTGACATATGGTCTTTAAAAACAAGAACACTGATGACGTGGAGCAGACTTCCCCTTTGGGATGGTGTGGAGAAGTTAGGGTTGAGGGCATCCTCTCTTCTGCAAACTGCAGCAGTAATAGGTGAGATATATAAAGTAAATAAAGGCCAGGTGCGGTGGCTTACGCCTGTTATCCCAGCACTTTGGGAGGCCGAGGTAGGCTGATCACCTGAGGTCAGGAGCTCAAGACCAGCCTGGCCAACATGGTGAAAACCGGTGTTTACTAAAAATACAAAAATTAGCCAGGCATAGTGGCACACACCTGTAGTCACACCTACTCAGGAGGCTGAGGCAGGGGAATCACTTGAACCCAAGAGGCAGAGGTTGCAGTGAACGGAGATCTCACCACTGCATTCCAGCCTGGATGACAGAGTGAGACTCCATCTCAAAAAATAAAAATAAAAAATTAAGTAAATAAAAAAGACACGCCCAGGCTGAAAAATAAGTTAATCACCTTCATGAATGAAAAGCAGTAAAGAAATGCAAAGTGGTTGGAGGCTGAAGAGCCTGGAGCCTGCTGGGCTTTGAAAACCAAAGACAGTGACAGGTCTTTTGGGATAAAGGGGTACCAAATGACTCCTAGCTAGAAGCTGAGAGCTTAGGTGTACCCCAGTACTTGAAAGCATGCTGGCCAGGTGCAGTGGCTCATGCCTTTAATCCCAGCACTTTGGGAGGCCGAGGTGGGCAGATCACGAGGTCAGGAGATCAAGACCATCCTGGCTAACACGGTGAAACGCCGTCTCTACTAAAAATACAAAAAAAAATTAGCCGGGTGTGGTGGCGGGCACCTGTAATCCCAGCTACTTGGGAGGCTGAGGCAGGAGAATCCCTTGAACCTGGGAGGCAGAGGTTGCGGTGAGCTGAGATCACACCACTACACTCCAGCCTGGGCGAAAAGAGCGAGACTTCATCTCAAAAAAACAGAACAAAATAAAACAAAACAAAAAACAACCAAGGGTGCTGGAGGGTGGGGGAGTCTGCTGCTGCTCTGTGGTCTGTATCCCTGGCTTTATGGGATGTATACCTTCCCAGTATCCCCAGGACAGGAGCTTGCACATGCTGTAAAACCTGTAGGCCACTGCAAAACTGTCAACGTCAGGCTAGCAAAGGTGATAGGATTAAATAGGTCTTTATAAAAGTTTGACAAGTTTTTTTAATAAAAGAAAAAGAGCTATTTAATTATCTATCAAGAATAATATAATCTTGGTACAAAGCTTGGCACAAAAGGATGTCCAAGGAAAGTTCACGATGGAACAGTCTGAATGACGAGTCTTTGTCACAGGGAGAGGGCACAGGGCAGTGCTTAGTGCTTGGCCTCTGGAGCCAGGAAATCCGGATTTGTATTCCTGCTGCCACTACTTATCCTCCCTGTGACCTTAGGGAAAATGGCTTGCCTTCACTGGGCCTTCACTTCCTCATTGATAAAGGGGGAAATAACCTTTACAATAAGCCTTCTAGGATGAAATGAAATAATTCAAGGAAAGTAACTTAACAAGACCCAGAACATAGAAAACCAAATAGATGTTAACTATTATTAACTTTTAGGAACATGAATTCCAAAACTTTAAGTAAAATAATACCAAGTTGAATACAGCAATGTACACACACACAAATAATGCATCATGGTGAATTAGGTTTTATTACAATAATGCAAGGGCAGAGTCAACATCAGATAATGCACTATTAGCAAGCTAGCTTCCTTTTTTTTTAAGACAAGGTCTCACTGTCACCCAGGCTGGGGTGTAGTGTCAACATCTTGGCTCACTGCAACCTCCACCTCCCCAGCTCAAGCAATCCTCCCCACAGCCTTCCAAAGTGCTGAGGTTACAGCTGTGCGCCACCACACCCGGCCCTATCTTCCTTAATGTAAAGCAATTATCATACTTAATAGTAAAATTTTAGAAGTGCTTTTCGTCAAAGTTAGGACATAGACAAGGGTACCTTCTATCGCTGTATCTACTGAACATGGCACTGGAGACCCTAGGTAATGTGTTAGGCTAATACATATGAAATTGCCATTTTTTTAAGGTTATGGAGTGCAGTGGAGTGCAGTGGCATAGCATCAGAAATGTATGTAATTCAACCTATAATAGAAATAAATCAGCTAGGTGAGATGGCTTATGCCTATAACCCCAGCACTTTGGGAGGCTGAGGCAGGAAGATCACCTGAGGTTAGGAGTTGGAGACGAGCCTGGCCAAAATGATGAAACCTCATCTGTACTAAAAAAAAAAACACACAAAAATTACCCAGGTGTGGTGGTGGGTGCCTGTAATCCCAGTTACTCAGGAGGCTGAGGCAGGAGAATCTCTAGAACTCGGGAGGTGGAGGTTGCAGTGAGCCAAAATTGTTTCACTGTACTCCAGCCTGCGCAACAGAGTGAGGCTCTGTCTCAAAAACAAACAAACAAACAAACAGAAAGAAAGAAAGTTTCAAGTTTTCTCTTTACACAATATGGATGTACTTCATAATGGACTTTCTCATCATGATTCATGAGTGAAGTGACATTCAAACTTGGTAGCTTTTCAGTAGAACTTCCTTTCCCAACATTTTTTTCTGTTCCTTTAATGATGGCAATATCTGAGAGCTCTGAACATAAGTCAAAGGTTTGATTATTTTTCATGTGGCTGGAAATTTTTGCCCTCTGTCAAACTTGGAAATTTTTTCCTCTGCCTGGAACTTTTTGCCCCGCATCTTCCGATCGCCCCGTGTCCTCTTGTTATGCCACTACCCTTTTTTGAGTGTGTCTATTTTCTGGCACTACAATACACTCTGGCACTACAAGGCTCATCTTGTGTTTTCTCTACCCTGACCCAGAATCAGCCATTACTTCAAGGAGCCCTGGTTCTGATATTGGAGAATGCTGTTAGAAACCAGGATGTGGTACTAGGCATGCCGATTTCTATTGGAGTGTCATATAAAAAATTTGTAAATTTTTTGTAGGTCCTCCCAGTGGATAGGATTAGGAAATAAAACATGCATACTAACCACACATATACACACATCTACATCTGTTTCTGTATCTGTCTGTATACATATTAAAATAAACATGAGTTGATAACGAATGTTTCCGCTTTAATCCAAGCACAGATTTCATCCTAGCCTCCCCCTCTTCCTTCTTTTTAGCCTTTTCAACAGTGGGAAGTGTGGCTCTTGTTATGTACACTTTATTCACTTATTTGTTTGACCCTAGTATCATAAAGTAGTTCCATATGCCTGTGACAGATTGATTAACTGGAGTCCATTGTTTGTGGAGAAATATTTTTGTCCTAAGCCTTACAGCAGGGGTGGCCAAACTTTTGGCTTCCCTGGGTCACACTGGAAAAAGAAGAATTGTCTTGGGCCACACATAAAAATACACTAACACTAACAATAGCTGATGAGCTAAAAAAAAAAATCACAAAAAAATTTCATAATGTTTTAAGAAAGTTTACTAATTGGTTTTGGGCCACATGCAAAGCCATCCTGGGCTGCAGGTTGGACAAGCTTGCCTTACAGTATCCAGTCAAAATACTGTTTTCCAAAATTAGTTATTTTCTTCTTCATCCCTTTCAGTGTGGCCACTATTTATAATGCAGTTTGGTTCATTAGTGTTTGTATTCCAAAAACACCCTCAGCCTTCCTATCCTAGTTTTAATGAATTATTACGGTGAAACATAATAAGAGTCGGAGCTATACAGAAAGGTCTACTCAGAGGTGCTTTGTTCCCTCCTATTCTGTTCCCACCACTCCTACTTTCCACTACTTTTTCCACTGACCCTGTGAGCATCATATTTATTGTTAATGGCAGTTACATTTTTACCAAGTGCTTACTATCTGTAGGCACTTGGTGTGTATTGCTTCTTCTGGTGTTCACAGCAACCTCTTGAGGTAGGCACTATTATTATCCACCCCCCCCCCGCCCCGTTTTTTGAGACAGAGTCTCACTCTGTTGCCCAGGCTGGAGTGCAGTGGTGCGATCTCAGCTCACTGCAACCTCTGCCTCCCAAGTTCAAGCAATTCTCCTGCCTCTGCTTCCCAAGTAGCTGCAAGTACAGGTGCGAGCCACCACACCCATCTAATTTTTGTATTTTTAGCAGGCATGGGGTTTTGCCATGTTGGCCAGGCTGGTCTCAAACTCCTGACCTCAGGTGATCCCCATTTTTTAGATGAGAAAGCAGAGTCCCAGAGAGCATAAGGAGCTTGTCCAGAGTGGCATCTCTGATGCATAACCAGTACTCAAACCAGTATTTTTCTGACACCAAGGCCTGTGTGTAAACTGTAAAAGGGCTGTTTGGTACCTGCTTTCCTAAAGTTGTCTGATCCCTTCTCAGTCCAGGTCTTCCTGAAGCTTGGCACTTCTGAAGTCACCTTTCTGAAAACATTCTGGTAACTGTTAGATCCCTTGTTGTAGCTATTCATATGTTCTGTGTGGTTAAACAAGGTTCACAGTGGGCCACCTGGCCTTTGGAACTTGGCTGAAGAGGCTGCCTTCAGTTCATCCTCCCCACCCCCGTTTTCAAAACATGGGTTTCCATGTGTTCGTTGTAAATTAGGAAACATAACCATGTTTTGAGGCTTCATAGAAAACAAACGTCTGGGGTCACACAGGTTAAAGGAGGAACCAAATTCAGCACTATCACTGTTCTATTCGGCAGGCAATTCTGGGGCCTTCCTGTGTCTCAGGTTCTGTACTAGTTGTTTCAGGACTTTGGGATAAACACAAACTATCCCTGCCCTCAGGGGGATTAAGGTCAGGTGTACAAATGACTCTAATGCGAGGCAAGGCTGGATTCAGTGCTGGAAGAGGAGGGCATACCTAACACTACGGGAATTCAAAGAGGAAATGATCAGAATGAGGAGGGAGAGATGGGTCATTCCGGGAGAAGCTTCAGGGAAAGGCAACATTTGAAATGAGACTTTGGAGAGTGAGGGAGGTTTGGGCAGATGGATAGAGAGGATGCAAGGCCAGGGGAAAGGTTTGAGCCAGAAAGTCAGCTTGGGCAAGTGCATGGGTAAAAAAAGAAAATCCACTTTGGGAGGCCGAGGCAGGTGGATCGCCGGAAGTCAGGAGTTGGAGACTAGCCTGGCCCACATGGTGAAACCCTGTCTCTCCTAAAAATACAGAAATTAGCTGGGCATGATGCTGGGCACCTGTAATTCCAGCTACTTGGGAGGCTGAGGCAGGAGAATCACTTGAACCCAGGAGGCAGAGATTGCAGTGAGCTGAGATCACACCACTGCACTCCAGCCTGGGCAACAAGAATAAAACTTCATCAAAAAAAAAAAAAAAGAAAGAAAATCACAAGGCAGTGTGGAGAATGGTGAGTAATCTAATTTGGTTATTGCAGAGAGGATGTAGAAGGAAGTGACAAGAGAGAAAGCCAGACAGGTGGCTTGGGGTCATCTTAAGGGCCTTTGTGCCAGTTAGGATGTTCCAGACTTCAGTCAGGCTGCCCAGCTCAGACTGGCTCAGACAATGAGGGGGTTTATTGGCCGTGTAATTGGGAAGTCCAGAGGCTCCAGGACTACAGAAAATTATTATTTAGTATTAGTTTGACAGCAACACCTTCTGTTTTCTGGGAGCAGGAGATGCTTGTCAAGCTGTAGGTCACTGAGTTGAATATTATCCTGCTTTATTAAATTGCCAAGGGCACGGTAATTGTTGAGAGGGGAGAAGTACACATGAAAGAAAACATGACCAGCTTAGAAACGTCAAATCATTATGACGTTGTTATAAAGTATTATAATTCTTTGAGCGTCTACTATAAGTAGAGAAACTTGAGTTCCAGGTTGTCGGCTTGGTTCTGCCAACAATCAGGAACGTGGTTTTGCATGAAGCCCTTCTTTCTCCTATAATCTTCAGTGTCCTCACCTGCAAAATGAGGCCTTTATATATATATATATATATATATATATATATATATATATTTTTTTTTTTTTTTTTTTTTTTTTTTTTTTTTTGAGACGGAGTCTCGTTCTGTCGCCCAGGCTGAAGTTCAGTGGTACAATCGCTGTTCACTGCAAACTCCCCCTCCTGGGTTCACAGCATTGTCCTGCCTCAGCCTCCCGAGTAGCTGGGACCACAGGCACCTGCCACCACGCCCAGCTAATTTTTTGTGTTTTTAGTAGAGATGGGGTTTCACCGTGTTAGCCAGGATGGTCTCCATCTCCTGATCTCGTGATCTGCCCGCCTCAGCCTCCCAACGTGCTAGGATTACAGGTGTGAGCCACCACGCCCGGCCAAGGCCTTTATTATACTATGGTTCCTACTGTTTTTTAAAATACTTTTATTAAGTCCAACATTTTTATTAAGAACATTGCTTTTATACATGCCTATTTATGAAAGGGGTTTTCGAGTGTTTACCACTTTTTATTAGAAATAGAGACAGTAAGAATGTTTGACTTAATTGACACAGGCATAATTGAATGGGTATAAATGGCATGCCATAGAAAGAGAAAATTAAGTTGAGCTACTCTGTTGGTTTCACTGATGAGGGGATACATCATTCAAACAGCCAGGAATTAAATCCGTCCAGCTCACAAATGGGGAAACCAGCTGTGTCTGTACCCATGGCCAGCCAGATTGAACACAAATCAGGAAAGTCAATAACTTTTCCTCAGTTCTGAGGGACTTCAGTGGCTGCGGTTCATTTTCCTTTTGCTTCTGAAACAGTGCAAGTTGATGCTCGCCTGGACAGAGCGGCAGTGAGTGGTGGCGTCTGAAGGCCAGGTCTCTGTTGAGATGACTACACGTCGTCTCCCAGTGCCCAATGCATAGAAAAGATACACTACTAAGTGTGAGATGCTCAGTGAAAAATAAAATCTGGGGTTGAATCATCATGGGGGATACTGCATACTCTGTTTCCCCCCTGCAGATTTCCAATGCTCATTAGTTTATAGAGACTCTGAGAATTCCTACAGCAAAGGCACCTGCCAAGGTACTTACAAACTAGTTTAGCTAAACCAGACTTTCAACAATTGGTTACTAAAGACCACTCAAAGTCTGTCAACACTCTGTCATCTCTATGTAATGACAGAAACATAGAAATTCAGGGTAAATGTTTAGAAATTTCTATAGAAACTTGACATTCTCCCAGCATCTGTATGTGACATCAGGGGACTTGTCTCAATGAGCAGTTACAGACCAACTCAGGTTTTGTCAGACTCGATGGAAAGATGCAGAGGCTGTGAGCTGCAAACGAGTCACATACACAAGGACCACATTGCAAGCTGTGTTCTTTAAGGTTAGTTTGTCAACTATAGTATAATCTCACACATCTGAAAAATGGGAACATCTATTCTATAAAGTCTTATTTTTGCAATAATTTTAATTTTAAATCAAGCCAATGTTAGCATTATTAGTGAAAACAAAAGAAAGTTGTGTTATTTATTATTAAACCTAATTTGAGAGTGAAATAAATTGTATTAATTTTTTTAACCAATAAAAGATGCACCTTGTAAACCAAGAGATGATTATGAAAGTGATTCTGAGGACATGAAGACCAAAGGAGTTTGTCCTCGTTTTACTCAGAAGTACTATTTCTAATGGACAGATGATCCCTGACATACAATGGTTTGACTTATAATTTTTTGACTTTATGATGGTGTGAAAGTGATATGCATTCAGCAGAAACCATACTTCAGTATTCAATAAATTACATGAGATATTCAACACTTTAAAGTGGGTTTGTGAGAGAGAATTTTTGCCCAATGGAAGGTGAATGTAAATTTTCTGAGAATGTTTAAGGTAAGCTAGGCTAAGCTATGATGTTAGCTTAGGTGTATTAAATGCATTTTAATTTAATTTAATTTAATTTAATGTTTTGAGACAGTGTGTTTTGTTCTTGTCACCCAGGCTGGAGTGCAATGGCATGATCTCGGCTCACTGCGACCTCTGCCTCTTGGGTTCAAGCGATTTTCTTGCCTCAGCCTTCCCAGTAGCTGGGATTACAGGTGCGCACCAACATGCCTGGCTAATTTTTGTATTTTTAGTAGAGACAGGGTTTCCCCATGTTGGCCAGGCTGGTCTCTAACTCCCGACCTCAGGTGATCCACCCGCCTCAGCCTCCCAAAGAGTTGGGATTACAGGCTGAGCCACTGCACCCGGCCTTAAATGCATTTTCGGCTTATATTTTCAACTGATGATGAGCTATAACTCCTTTGTGAGTTGAGGATCATCTGTCTTGAATTTGGTTTTACAGGCATAACTGAAGGTGAAAGGACAGAATCACCATGTGTTACTGGCACAGATGCATCGGCTAGTGAAGAAAGAAGACATTCAAACTGTAAGTTGCATTCACGTGGGAAGCACAAAGAATTAAATTCAAAACAATGAAACATTAGAGAAAAGCATGGAGTTAAAACACAACAGAATCAGATGTTTACTATTTCTCATTTTAACACTAGTGCTTTGCGGGCTTCTAATAAAGTTGTACTCCAGGAGGCTAAGACTGAAAAGTGACACTAGTGAAAAGTAGCATTGAAATAGTTCCTTAGAAAAGTTGGGTGAATGTGGGGCAAAGATGCCACTAAACTTTAATTTTCCATCGACACACAAATTCAAAGTTTTCCAGAACTGGCAAGTAAAATGGAAGATCCACTCACAGGACACATGCAGTGTGTGAGGGGAATGCTTTTCAGCACTTCTTGATGGATGCACAAATAATGCCAATGTGGTAAATGTCTTTGGTAAATGTGCAATGGAATGTAGTGGTTGTGTGAAGGAAGAATTTTGTTTTCAGCTTCATTTTTGATAAACACAAGCAGCTCTGGACTGTGTGAAACCATGGAGCACCGCACAGTTAACAGAGGTGGTTTGGAGTTTTTTAGCTTTGCATAAGAGGATGTTCTGATGCAGAATCTACAGTGACAGGAAACCATTCTGGACAAGTTACAGAATTAAGGGGTTTGTGCCGGGATGGAAATAAATCAATGACTTCTGTCTTTGAGAAGGTTTTTCTCTGCTCCTCTGTGATGGTTAATTTTTTTTTTTTTTTTTTTTTTTGAGATGGAGTCTCGCTCTGTCCCCCA
This sequence comes from Homo sapiens, assembly GCF_000001405.40. Classification (NCBI taxonomy): domain Eukaryota; kingdom Metazoa; phylum Chordata; class Mammalia; order Primates; family Hominidae; genus Homo; species Homo sapiens. The sequence continues at coordinate 1,990,810 of NW_012132920.1, read as the reverse complement.
GGATGGAGTGCAGTGGCGCCATCTCGGCTCACTGCAAGCTCTGCCTCCCGGGTTCATGCCATTCTCCTGCCTCAGCCTCCCAAGTAGCTGGGAGTACAGGTGCCTGCGGCTAATTTTGTGTATTTTTAGTAGAGCCAGGTTTCACCATGTTGGCCAGGATGGTCTCGATCTCCTGACCTTGTGATCCACCCGCCTTGGCCTCCCAAAGTGCTGGGATTACAGGCATGAGCCACCATGCCCCACCTTTTTTTTCTTTTCTTTTTTTTTTTCTTTCTTTCTTTCTTTTTTTTTTTTTTTTGTTAGTCCTTCCCTCCAGTGTCGTGGAGATAATTGGAAAATATTTTAGAGCAAAAAAGTTTATTTCTCCTTCTTGTTGTTAGCAAAGAAATTTATTTTTCCTTCTTGTTATTTATTGGCCTTGGAGACATACACCAAATAGCTCATTCTACTTCTGAAATTTTGTTTTGATTTCCCTGGCCCTCCCCACGAAGTATTTCAGATTAGCAGGGAGTCAAGCATTGTCTGTCTGTCTGTGAATAAAATATTTCAGGCTGCTTTTGCATAATATACATGCTCTTGCCTTTACGAGTCACACTCACATCTTCTGGTTTTGTAAGACACCAGGTAGAGAAGAAAACAATGTTTCTGAATTCTGCTTTATCAGCCCAGTAGAGAACTCCTCCCTTCCCTGAACTGAGGGCCACATCTAAGGGGTTGAAACAGGGCCAGTTACATTCTATGTTCCCAACATAATTGTCCATGCACGGATCCGATCAAGTTAAATGAGAAATAGGATATTTATTCTAAAAACAAGTTATTGCTACAATAATAATAATACTATAGTAATATTATTATTCTAATAATGATATTAGAATAAAAACTGGTTATTAAAGTACTAAACAGTTGAAAATCTAAATGTCTCACAAGGTCAACTATAGCAAGTATATAAGATTTCGTATTAGTCGCACGTCAAAAATTATATCCATAAAAGTAATGACATATGAAAACAGTTTATTGATACAGATATAACAAATATAACTAAACTGTGCTGAAATGTATTTTAAAATAAAATATGCCAAAATATTATTGATGATGACTTTGGATGATGGTATTACCACTAAGGTTTCAAATTTAATTTGCCTCTTACTTCTGAGTACTTTTATAAATTTTTAAATAATAAAATTAGTGTGTTAAAAAATATCAAGTGATATCTAGAAATCAGAAAAAGGCATATTGCCAGAGGAGGACCGAGTTAGTAGATTTGAGGCTCCATTAAGTTTTGTTTATGATCAAAAAACAAACAAAAACCAGGCAACAGTGGCAAAAAATATCTCACTTCCTTCCTGGAAAAGTAAATGAGACTACAAAGAATTTCCAAACTTAAAAACTATACATTTCAAGTCTGTTCATAACTAGTGAAGTCACAGTTTCTGAAAACAATGATAAAATTTTAATTGATATTTAATTCATATTTTTTGTTTAAAAAACTATCAGTATTGGAAGATAAATTTCATGGGAAAAGCATTGAATCATTAAGTTTTGCAGTCACAAAGGTAAATATAATTTGCTTAATGCTGCCCTCAGTTTACAATGAGTCTTTAGTATTTTCTAAGCTATGAGTTCACCAAAATATAGGATTGTTTTGCTGCATATAATTTGCTCAGTGATCAAACACTAAGGAGTTACCTATGTTAAGATGTGAATAATAAATTTATGCAAAATTTATGAAAGTGTACATTGTAAAGACAATAAAACTTTCCATTAAATTGGTGGGAAAGGAGCTCAAAACCTAGCTGGGTGATTCATTATTTTAATGACTTCCTGCTTTACTGCAAAACCTCTCTCTTCATTCGGTGTTGGTAGTTTGAACCCCTGTTAAGGATATAGGCTCACAATGAAGCTTCTATAAATTTCTGGACCTCTGTCATGCTGGCATGTATGTCATTCTCCTTTAGGAATGATGAAGAGACTGGAAAGCGGTTGCTCCAAGGGAAGGGATAATTTTGCAAACCTGAGCTGTCTAAGCTCAGCATGAATTGGAGTGGGCTGCTGACTCAGGCTAGCAGAGGCAGCCAGGAAACATGCAAATCTGCAATCCGTTCTGCCAGGTCTGTCGCAGCAGGTGTCACTAAAGGCACCCCTGTGTGCTTGTCACTGTGGCAGCCTTGACAAGGAAGGTGGAAAGGAAAAAGAGACCCAGTGCTGAACTCCAAGCAGAGATGGGGCTTTTCTCTATGCATATTTTCCCTCCCCTCCCAGCCTGCATTTCCAATAACATATTGATTTATATTTGTATTATGAAACAAAAGTGGTTGTAATCAGATGTTCTTTCCTTTTACACACAATGTTAGCTCCTATTTACATTCCTAACTGAACAATGTCTAAAGAGGTATTTAAACTGATGTAAAACGCAGATAATCTCATGACCAAATGCTTAGCGCAAGAAAAAACTTCAATTTGCAAGAGAAGTCCCTCCAAATACAGAAAGGACCAGTATTGTAAGAGGTACCTTAACTAAAATGTAGCAATGTAAGGCGCAGAGCAGGAAGAACTTTTAAGTCTGAAACTTACAACAAGTCAATTTCATAGTCAGTTTCCCTGGGCCTTCCACAACAGCCTCCGGCACCTGTTTTCTCTACAATGGAGGTAACAATAGTAGCTATTTCAGAGCAGGAAAAGGCTTAGAGCAGTGCTAGAAGAGGGTCGTGGCTATATAAAGTTTAGCTATTTGTATATTGTAAGAAACCAACGATGTGTTCTTTTATCGGTAGTCAGTAATGGATTTCTTGTGGGAAAGTAGCAGCCTCCTATGGGGGGAACACCCGCAGGTCCCACTAAGTGAACACTGGTGTCTGCTAACCTTTGCCTCTATTTGTCGCAATAATATACTGTCAAGCTGTTCCTTGAGTTAGCAATTTTATTTACATTCTTTTTTTTTTCCTTTCCCTTTTCCTGCCACAGAGTCCCGCTCTGTCGCCCAGTCTGGAGTGCAGCAGCGCCATCATAGCTCACTGCCACCTAGAAGCCGGGGTGAAGCAATCCTCCTCCATCAGCCTTCAGAGTAGCTGGGACTACCTGCGCGGCCCACCACACCCGGCTAATCTTTGTGGTTTTTGTTTTGTTTTCCGTTCTGGGTTTCCGTCGGGCGCAGTGGCTCAGGCCTGCAATCCCAGCACTTTGGAAGGCAGAGGTGGGCGGATCACCCGAGGTCGGAGACCAGCCTGACCAACATGAAGAAATCCCGTCTCTACTAAAAAAAAGAAAAAAACTACAAAATTAGCCGGATATGGTGGCTCATGCCTGTAATCCCAGCTACTAGGGAGGCCCAGGCAGGAGAATCACCTAAATCCGGGAGGCCGAGGTTGCGGTGGGCAAAGATCACACCATTGCACTCCAGCCTGGACAACAAGGGTGAAACTCCATCTCAAAACAGAGACCGGGTTTCACCATGTTGCCCAGGCGGTCTGGAACTCCTAGGCTCAAGCGATCTGCCACACTCGGCCTTCCAAAGTCCTGGGATCACAAGGGGGAGGCACCACGCCAGGCCGATCTATTCCTTTCTGGTTACTAAATTGGACCGGGGGCGCGGTGGCTCACGCCTGCAATCCCAGCACCCAGGGAGGCGGAGGCGGGCGTATCACTTGAGGTCAGGAGCTCGAGATCAGCCCGACCAACACGGAGAAACCCCGTCTGTACCAAAAAAATAAAACCAAAATTAGCTGGCATGGTGGCTCATGCCTGCAATCCCAGACACTCAGGAGGCTGAGGCAGGAGAACCACCTAAACCCGGGAGGTGGAGGCCGCGGTGAGTCGAGACCACGCCACTGCACTCCAGCCTGCAAAACGAGCGAAACTCCACTCAAAAAAAAAAAAAAAAGACAGTGTTTCACCACGTTGCCCAGGCCGGTCTGGAAGTCCTAGGCTCAATCGATCGCCGCGCTCGGCCGTCCACAGTACTGGGATCACAAGCATGAGCTACCACGCCAGGCCGATCTATTCCTTTCTGGTTACTAAATTGGACCGGGGGCGCGGTGGCTCACGCCTGCAATCCCAGCACCCAGGGAGGCGGAGGCGGGCGGATCACCCGAGGTCAGGAGCTTGAGATCAGCCCGGCCAACACGGAGAAACCCCGTCTGTACAAAAAAAAAACCACCAAAATTAGCTGGCATGGTGGCTCATGCCTGCAATCCCAGCCACTCAGGAGGCTTAGGCAGGAGAACCACCTAACCGGGAGGTGGAGGCCGCGGTGAGTCGAGACCGGAAAACACTCTAGCCTGGAAAACAAGAGCGAAACTCCGCTCAAAAAAAAAAAAAAAAAAAAAAAAAAGACCGTGTTTCACCATGTCGTCCAGGCTGGTCTGGAACTCCTAGAACCTGTAGATGTTACCTCATTTGGAAAAAGCATATTTTCAGGTATGATTAAGTTAAGGATCTTGAGGAGAGATTATCCTGGATTGTCTCCGTGGGCATTAAATCCTGGCACATATATCCTTATAAGAGGGAGATAAAGGAGATTTAACTTCAGACAGAAGAGAAGGAGGCCCTGTGACCAAGAAGGCAGAGCCTGGAGTGGTGGAGCTGCAAGCCAATGAATGCCAGCAGCCATCAGAAGCTGCGCAAGTCAAAGGATGGATTTTCCCCTCAGCCTCTGAGAGCACTGGCTCTGCTGAGACCTAGATTTCAGCCCAGTGATACTGATTTTGGACTTCTGATATCCAAAACTGTGAGAAAATAAATTTCTGTTGTTTTAAGTCACCACATTTTTGGTAATTTGCTCTAACAGCCACAGGAAAGTAACATACATGCCTACCTGGGTCCAGTTGTGTCCTGTGACTCCTGCTTTCCTGGGACAGGCAGGCTGCTCCGTGCCTCCTGGCCATCCTACTGGGTGCTGGACGCTGTAGGCTGCTCCATGCCTGTTGGCCATTCCCTTTGGTGCTGGACAGCACTCACATTGTGAAATCCACTGGCCCTGTGAAAAACACCTGGAAATGTTACCAGGAGAGGGGTTAGTTCTCTTTTTGGCAACCCATGTTATTGCTTATGGCTTAATATCTGTGCCTCCAAGATCCCTTCTCTCTGCCTTCATCGATGCCAGGAAAGCAGTCACCTTTTGCCTTTCTTTGCTTCTCAGCAAGTGGCATGTCTCCATGTCACTTTAAGCATCAAGCACACGGAGCCCAATAAGATGCTGAAAAGTGTCTGCCTACAAGGTTACAAGGTGGTGGAGACATTCTGAGCCGGTAACTGCAGGGCTCAGTAAAACCGCTACAGGAAATCTCAAGTTCAAAATGCTGAAGTGAAAAATGGGTGATCACAACGAAGGGAAACACAAACCCCTTCTTTTAAAAACATTATGGTGATAAGGCACAACATAAAATTTACCATATTAGCCACTTGTAAGTATACAGTGCAGTAGTGTTAAAAATATACATGTTGAGTAACGAGTTTCTAGAACTTGCTTCTCTTGGAGAACTGAAACTATAGCCACTATACAACAACTCCCCATTTCTCTATCCCCTGGCTTATGGAAACAACCGCTCTATTTTCTGTTTCTATGAGTTTGACTAATTTCGAACCTAATGTAAGAGAAATTGTACAGCATTTGTCTTTGTGTGATGGGCTGATTTCAATTAGTGTAATGTTTTCAAGGTTCATCTATATTGCAGCATGTGACAGGGCTTCTTTCTTTTTTAAGGCTGATAATTTTATAGTATTCCGTTGCATGGATAGACCACATTTATTTATTCATTTATTTATTTATTTATTTACTTATTTATTTATTGAGACAATCTCACTCTGTTGCCCAGGCTGGAGTGCGGTGGCATGATCATGGCTCACTGCAGTCTGAATCTCACATTCTCAAGCGATCCTGCCGCCTCAGCCTCCTGAGTAGCTGGGACTACAGGCACATGACACCATGCCTGGATATTCGTCTTTCTGTGTAACTGGTTGAGAAACAGGGGAGTAACAGTGAAGAAACGGTCTTAGAATAAATCTGGTGACAGCAGAAGAGAATATGAGACAGATTGTGCTCACAGAGCCTTGAAGAGTGTGACAGTATTTGAGGGCCACGCTGTTGTCTTAGAGTGAAGTGAGGAGAACCTGCACTGGTTTGGTAGTCATGGGAATGGAAGGAGGAAAGAAATGTGAAAGCTCATCGGTGGCAGAGTCAAAATGGCTTGGTCTTTGTAGTCAACGATTAAGTGAGAAGGAGGAATTACTGGCTGACTTAGAAGAAGTAAAAAATGTGAAATACTGATAAAACACAAATCTCGTGATTTTAGTTAGCGTAAAGACTAAGCATTGTGTGATTCTAGATATATTATTAAGCAGTTTTGTTCCAGTATTTTATATCCCATATCTTCTAGCTATGACCCTATTTCTTTGTTTCTTGACATAGACAAACATTTTTTAAACTAAGAGCTTTATTGTGATACAGTTTTTGTATGATAAGCCTCACCCTTCAAGTGTACAGTTCAGTGGTTTTTAGTATATTCAGAGTTATGCAGCCATTACCACTCCCTAATTTCAGAACATTTTCATCTCCCCAAAAAGAACCCCGTACCCACTAGCAGTCACTCCCTGTAGCTCTCTCCCCCACCATTGATCCTGGCAACCTCTGATCTAACTTCTATCTCTGTAGATTTGCCTATCCTGGGCATTTCATATAAATAGAATCATACAACAGTGGCATTTTGTGACTGATTTTTCTTTACAGTGATTATAAATCAAATGCCTGAAGACGCTAAGCTTAGGATAGTGTTTGCTGTACAACTTTGATAACTGAACTTTTGTAAAGCTGAAAATGTGACTGTGTCTGTATATGTGGCATATTATCCTTAGATGATCCTTACTTCGATTATTAAGAATTTTTTCCCCTAGTAATCTTCAACTGTCTCAATATTCAGCAGGAACCCCTTGGAGACAAAGATCAGTACGAATTTGGAACACCTATTCACAAAATGAATGTAATTTAATTTAGTACAGTAGTAAAGTCAACCACTTTTAGGTGTTGATGCTGCTGAAAGTGTATATTAAGGAAAAGTTTACTTACCTTACTTTTTGTGGAGGTGCTAGAACTACTTCTGTCTTGTGTTTAGATTTCAAGAAACCTTTGCATGGGCATTATGTGGTTGCACAAATGTACTTCGTTTTGACCTGAAAATGCAAAAACTTCCTTTCTTCCCACTTTCTGAGACTCTGCAACCTTAAAGGAAGAGTGGGGTTCTTTAAAGGAAAGGTGGTGGTGGTTGGGTCATGGGTAACAATGTCTACTGTGTACTTCCTTTCCCAAAACAAGTCCCTGTCTACCGTCAGCATTTCCAAAATTTGAAGGTCAAGTGTGGTGTTAACTCATGAACTAATGACTAGACTTTGAGCGGTTGTGGAAGCAAAATCTCAGTGAGTGCCTGGATGTTCTAATTCTGTTAAGTCAGTGAGTGCATATTCTGTACAATACTCTCTTAGCCCAGTGGCAGGTTTAAGGAGTGGGAGAGAGATTTCTATGTTTCGGAAATCAGATACACAAAGAATAAAAATTTTTAATCCCATGAATCTTTGCCCGAGTTTAATTTCTTGGAGAGTTTTTCTTTTAGATTTTCTTTCCCTTCCATTAAACTTTTACTTAGAAAGGTCCCAGGGTTTGGGCAAAGCAAGTGGGAAAGACACTTGCTTGGGTTCTCCAGGATAAGGGATTGAAGAGGACTTCTTTCCCTCATTTTATTATTGAATAATGTCACAATAACAATTATTAAGGTGAATAGTCTACAGTGGAAGTGTTTAGATGCCTTGTCTGCAAAATAACTTGGTTTAGTCAACCCAAGGATGCCTTTGGTTAGCTGGAATGGGAGATGTGCAGGTTAGAGTGGTCTTGGCAAGTCTTCCAGGGGGAAATACAGCATTTGGAAGGGTAGGAAGCAGAAGGAATCTCAGGCAAGGGAAAGGCGTGGGCAGAGCCCCGGAGGACAGAACAGGTTGTGGTGGACTTGGTGTCCACATAGACCTAATTAGTGGTCTTAGCTTTTGTGTTTTCAAAATTACCACAGTTTGTGTTCTAAAACTGTCATTCTCTTGATTTTATTTTAGACATACTATCTGTGTATTTTGAAATTTAAAATAACAGTAAAGGAGAAACGAATTTATTTTGTTTGAGAAAGAGTTAAAAGGTTAAAACATCTTGATCTTAATAATTTTCTAATGGGAGATTTGGTACACCCCCAGAAGTTGTCTTTGGTTCAGAGAATAGTGTTCAGATCTAGAAAGGACTTGAGAAGTCCCAGAGAGGTGCTGCATGGTCTGAACCATTTGATTCTCACGACAGAATGGATAAAAACAATTTGAACCAGGAAACCATGCAGATGTTCATATTTTGGATAGGGTAAGGTCAGTGCCGTCGTCAGAGGAAAAACTCTTGGCCATCACAGGATGGGAGAGAAAGTTTGAGTTGTGAAGAATACTCAAATGCCGTTTAAGGAAACGGGTTCTTCTGCACCTATTCTTTGGAATATTTAGGGCTAAGTTCTTAGTTTTTGACATCATAAAAATGTCAAAGTATTCTGTTCTAAGAGCCATTTCAAACAACTGACTAGAATTTCAGAGCAATTACATGAGAGTAATACCATTAAAATGTTTAAATTACCCATAGTCCTATATCCCTAACAAGTATGTTCACGCTTGCATGTTCTCTTCTCATCTTTACTGTGTGCATACTTTCTTAGTAATGGCACGTAGACATTGTTTAAGCAGGAATAATTCTCGAGATAATTTTGTATGTTTCCTTTTTTCTTTTTAAGGTAGGTATTGGGTGGAGGAGCATTATATTTGCAACTTCTCGCAAAACACGTGATTATTTTCTTATAATATTCAATTTTCACCCTCAATAGAGTGTTTTGATTATGTAAGTTAGACAGAAAGTAGAAGGTTCTCTTAGAGAAATTTTAGTGTTTTTTTTTCATAGCTCCTACTTTCAAGAATGAAAAAGGTAAACCAGTAAAATGACACTGTACTTGGTGCTGCATCTATGCTGGGATAGGCATTAAGAGTGACCTTTATTTAAGGTTCTAATTTGCTCATGTTGGGCACTTAGAACGTCAGTTTGTTGCTTTTTGTGAGATTTTGGAAATGGTCCAATTTTACTTTTTCCCCTTGACTCCAGACTTTTTAACACTGATCTGCTGCTGTTGAGGCATATGCCGTTTTGTTAGGCCTCCTCAAGTGGGAGTCAGGAATGCTGCTGTGTTCCAGAGAGGTTTTGTTCTTCCTGTAGGGCTGAAGCAGTGCCTACTCAATAAAACCAGTCATCGTGCAAAGAAATGCCACCTGACTCAAAGGCAAAGCCAGAGTGCAGCTTGGAGCAAAGAAGGTATTTTATTAAGAATTTTACATAAACCATAAGATATATTTTATATTACTTTGCGAGCCTTCTTCCTGTCTTGACTTAATTCTTTTTGAGAGAATTCATTTCATTTTCATTTGGTTGGTTTTCTTCTTGTTACAAAGATGATCTATAGAAAATATAGAAGTATAAGAAAATTAAAGATACTAACTGATAATTGCTTAATGATTTAGTATCTGCTTGTTTAGTCTTTGTTATATTTACAGTAGGCAAACATGTCTACCGTTGTGAATTTATTACTGGTATGTATACCCTAGTAAGTTAAAAGTTGTACGTACTTTGAAGTTTTGCAAAATTGAGTTCATATTATAGAATTAATTCCTGATGAAATTTTATGTGCTAGGCACTGGTCTTTTTATTTAATTATTTATTTTTACTTTTTTTTCCTCTGTGCCTATGCTTACCAAGTCTTTTTATTTTTTACTTTTTATTAACTCTTTTAATCCTCTGGATAAATTAAAAAGAGGGTATTATTAATATCTGCATTTTGTAGATGAGGTAACTGAAGGTAGGTAACTTGTCCAAGGTCACAGGTGGCAGAGCAAGGATTAAAACTAGACAGTCTGGCTGCCCAAGGCCCAACGAAGAGGAGCTGAGAGCAAGCCACCGGGCAGAAGGATGTTGGTCAGGCTGGTTTCCTGTTCAGTTAACATGAAACGCAGGCTTAACCTTAATTCTAGGACGTTACCGAGAAAGCCTTCCAAAGCCATAGGTTTTTTACCATGACCATGACTTCTTTTTTTTTTTTTTTGAGACAGAGTCTCACTGTGTAGCCCAGGCTGGAGTGCAGTGGCGCGATCTCGGTTCACTGCAGCCTACCTCTCTTGACAGTCCACTGGTTAAAGTGATTCTCCTGCCTCAGCCTCCCGAGTAGCTGAAATTACAGGCGCCGGCCACCACGCCTGGCTAGCTTTTGTGTTTTTAGTAGAGACGGGGTTTCACCGTGTTGGCCAGGCTGGTCTTGAACTCATGACCTCAAATGACCCACCTCTGCCTCCCAAAGTGCTGGGATTCCAGGCGTGAGCCACCGTGCCAGGACCCAAGGCCCTTAAGTTTTAACGTCTCATTCTTCAGTCAGGTTTTCCTTGTTCCTGCGTGTTCAGCCATTTGTTTTTAAGTTTGTGTTGAAGGAGAAACTAACAACGAAAATGGACTTGTTGACGGAAGAAAAGTAGGAATGCAGCCTCTGGTGCTGTTTGAGTGATCCCTCTGCCCCAGGCCTGGCTGCGCGCTGCTGTGTTCTGGAAAGGCGCATTGTGCCCTCGCTGTGGCAGGTAAGAGTCCTGTACAGGTGCTCTGCCCACTTTACCTTTCAGGCTTCTGTATCAGCTGTTTTTCCCTTGTAGAATGTGCCCCTGACCTGTGCCCCTGACTTCCACCCCTTAACCCTGCCCAATACATCTTTACATGTCTGACCATCAAGACTCTTCTGGGTCATATTCAGTTCATGCTGATATTTTCCCTTCCTCCCCTCTTTAGTCCTTACTATTTTTGCTTTGGTCATGTTATGCTATATTCTGTAAGCCTTTAAAAATTTTGTTGTATCATGGCAGGGGAGAATATTTTATAATTATGCTTTGTGCGTTTTATCTTCCACTCAATGAATGCTTGGTAAATATTTGTTTTATTGAGTATATGACCCTTTTCTAGCTATACCGTGAACAAAAATGTTAACTGCCTTGTACGTTAACTGCTAAGAATTTGTCAAAAGTGCAGAGATGACATCCAGAACTTGTCAGAATATTACAAAAAGGTCTCTAAGGGCATGATGGAGGTCTGTAAATTGACTTCATGTGAAAGAGTGTAAGAAGTGAAAATGTGAAGCATGACTGGAGAGCCGGAGTGATAAAGCAAGGGTCCCTTTCTCCAGATCCTTTGTAACAGTGTCATGTGACCTCTTCTAGATCATTCTGAAAGACAATGCCAGCTCGGAACCTAGGAAAGCATCCAGTGGGTTTCTGCATGTTAGGTGGTTCAAATCCTCATTAGCACCTTTGTTTTCTCTGCCTCAGTTTGCTTACAGTGATGTTCTCAGTAGCTGTAATTGCTGTCTGTCTTTGAATATTTAAGCATTTTTTTTTTTAGATCACAGGGTATATGTGCATTTTTATTTTACCAAGTGTTAGAATTTTTACTCTGCCTTTGTGGGCTCTGGGTTAGCTACTTGGCTGTTTCATCGTAAAATGATTAGCAGGAAAAACTGTGTGTGTGTGTGTGTGTGTGTGTGTGTGCGCGCGTGTGTATTTTAAGTTTCTTAATTGGGTTGGTACATGTAAACCATTTAGAACAGTGCCTGCTGCATATCACATCCCCATCAGTATTCACGTCTCTCATATTCTACCCTCACACTTGATTGATAGTTTGCTTGATTACGTATTTCTAGGTTGAGGATAATTTTACCTTAGAATTTCAAAGTCTGTGCTGTTGTCTTCTAACCAGTCGTGGTGGCGAAGCCTCATGCCATCCTGAGTTTCACTTGTTTATGCATGACTTTCTCCCTGGAAGCTTTTAGGAGTTTGTCTTTTCCTTGGTGAGCTGAAATAGCACAACAGTGTACTTAGTGTGGGTCTTTTTTCATTCATTATGCTGGGTACACCAAATGAACAGGCCTATGGATAGGCTCTTTCAAAGTTGGAGTCTTGAATCTTGTCATATTTTTGTTGTTAACTTTCTCTTTTCCATTTTATTTGTTCATTTGGAAGTGTCTGTTAATTGGATTTTAGACCTCTTGTCTTGAGTCTTATATCTCACGTTATTTCTAAATGTTTTTTAAATTTTCAGTTCTGGAATATTTTCTTATCTTTCGACTTTCAGGAAATTTTATTTGGACTGTCATAACTTTAAGTTTTGTTTTGGTTATTTATTGTTGCTTAACCAATTATCCCAAAACCTAATGGCCTAAAACTACACATCTGTCTATCTGTCACGACTGTATGGATTACCTGGGGCTAGCTGGACAGTTTTTCTGCTGGTCTCATTTGGCAGCTCTCACTGTGTGGTTAAACAGTGTCAGGGACTGGTCATCTGGATGCTCAGCTGCAGTGGAATGTCTGAGACGGCTTCTTTACCCACAGGTCTGCTGCCTTGGTGATTCTTGATGTGGCCTTTCTCTCTGCATAGCATCTCATCCTCTCGGATCTCTTCATGTGGCTTTTCTTTCTCCAAGAAGGTAGCCAATTCTTATTTTTGGCTTCCAGAAGCACAGAAATGGAGCTGCCAGGAGTTCTTAAGGCTTAGACCTGGAACAGGTCCAGTGTCATTTCTACCACATGCTATAGGTTAAAGTGAGTGTTGGGGCCAACCCAGATTGACTATGGGATGGGCCTGTCTGAGGACATGATGACAGGAGGTATGGCTCATTGGAGACCAACTCCCAAGATGGAGCATGAGTTCTAAGAACTTTTTCTTCTCTGATTATTTCTTATTCATATTGTTTTGTTTTATACATGTAATATATTCACAAGTGTCTTTATGAAGTGATTTTGATACTCTTTGTCTTCTCCCTGGCATCTCCTTGTTCTTTAATAATTTTTTTCTTAGTTTATTTTGGTCTTATTTTTCTTTTTAAAGCCTTTCCTTAAATATCTATTCTATGTTGCTTATCATTTGTAGTCTTTTTTTTTTTTTTTTTTTGAGACCCAGTTTCGCTCTTGTTGCCTAGGCTGGAGTACAATGATGTGATCTTGGCTCACCACAACCTCTGCCTCCAAGGTTCAAGCAGTTCTCCTGCCTCAGCCTCCCAAGTAGCTGGGATTACAGGCATGTGCTACCACGCCCAGCTAATTTGTGTATTTTTAGTAGAGATGGGATTTCTCCATGTTGGTCAGTCTGGTCTGGAACTCCCAACCTCAGGTGATCCACCCACCTCGGCCTCCCAAAGTGCGGGATTACAGACATGAGCCACCGTGCCTGACCTGTAGTCTTTTTTCCATTCCTTTATTTGTTCATTCATATTTGAGAGAGGTACTAAAAGACTGGGAGCCGAGGTGTGGTGGCTCACACCTATAATCTCAGTGCTTTGGGAGACCGAAGTGGGAGGATCACTTGAGCCCAGGAGCTCAAGACTAGTTTGGGCAACATAGTGAGACCCCATCTTTACAAAAAAAAAAAAATAGCTAGGTGTGGTGACACCCATCTGCAGTCCCAGCTACTTGGGAGGCTGAGGCAGGAGGATTGCTTGAGCCCAGGAGGTTGAGGCTGCAGTGAGCTCTGATCATGCCACTGCATTCCTGCATTCCAACCTGGGCGAAAGAGCAAGACCCTGTCTCAAAATAAATAAATAAATAAATAAAAATAAAAATAAATAAAAATTGATTGGGAGTTCTTTGTGGCCAAGACTTGTCAACTGATAGCTTTAAGGGGAATGTATGCTGATTCCTAATTGTTATCCTCCATCCCTCTATCTTGTCTCCTGTTGCAATCATAAATGATGGCTGGATGACTACTCCATTCCTCTGGATGTAAAATCTACATTCTCTTGCCTGAGGTGGATACGTTTGCTTGGGTTCTGTTTAAGGAGATGGGGCCAGCAGTGTGTTTCAGGGCCTGTGAAATGTGTTCTCTATCCGGGCTTTTGCTTAATCTCTGTTTTCAGTCTTGCCTATCAGTCCCACTGTCGGGGGTACCTCGTGTCTGAGTCTAGAACCTTTCCAGGTTGCTGTGGGACAGATTAGCCTCCTTGTTCTCAGTATCCCCCTGACCTCCACCTTTGTTGCTTTGCTCCATGAATTAACCATTTTCCATGTACTGTCATTGTCTAATGAAGATGAATTCTCTTCTGTTGGTAACCCCATTCCTTTTTTGTAATGGTGTGCTTATACAATGTTTATTCTTCACTGTATTTCTATTGGAGCCTCAGGACAAAGAGCAGATGGTGAGAATCTGTGTTCAGTGTTAAGTTTTCCTTCTGTAAGACATGTGCAACTTGTGTTTTTCACTGAATAGATCATGGACTTAATGCATATAGAGCTACTTTGTTTTTCATGATTGTGCCTTCAATTATATGTAGAAATATAATTTGTGAATTGCCTGATGAAATTTTCCTAATTTTGAATTATCTTTGCATTCCTATAATAAACACTGTTAGAATGGCTATGGTAATATTTTATTTTTGCATTTTTACTTCTGTATTAAATAAGATTATAGTTTTGTTTGTTTCCTTTAAGGCTGTTATTTCAGTATCAAGGGTATGCAGGGCTGAGTTGGGAAGCTTTACATCTTTTTTCTAAGATCTAGGATGTAGATCTGGTTTACACAGTAATTTTCAACTGCAGGAGTATTTTGCCTCCTATGGGACGTTTGGAAATATCTGGAGACATTTTTGTGGTCACAACTGGTCATGGTCGGGAGGTCTCATTGGCATTCTGTGGGTAGAGGGAATGTTACTAAATGCCCGACAACACACCAAGAGAACCCTCCACAAAGAATTATCTGGCCCAATATATCAATATTGCTGAGGATGACAAATTCTGGTTTAAATATCCAATTTGGAGGATGAGTCTTTGTCTTTTTCCTTCTTCTGCATATTGGTCTCCAGATTTCCCACTTCTTCAGTTACTTTTCGTAACTGTAGGTTCTTAAAAAAAAATGAACACTTTGGATGGGTGCGATGGCTCATGTCTGTAATCCCAGCACTTTGGGAGGCCGAGGCAGGTGGATCACGAGGTCAGGAGATAGAGACCATCCTGGCTAACATGGTGAAACCCTGTCTCTACTAAGCCAAAATACAAAAAATTAGCCAGGCGTGGTGGCGGGCGCTTGTAGTCCCAGCTACTCGGGAGGTTGAGGCAGGAGAATGTTGTGAACCCAGGAGGCGGAGCTTGCAGTGAGCCAAGATCACGCCACTGCACTCCAGCGTGGGTGACAGAGCGAGACTCCGTCTCAAAAAAAAAAAAAAAAAAAAAATGAACATGTCATCCATACTTCTAAGGTGTTGTAAAGATGTGTAAAGTTTTCACTTTTTGCATCATATTCACATGTGGCTATATGCCCTTTTCTCTTCAAAGTTTTCTTTATCTTGATTACTTATCAGAGGCTTGACTGTTTTATTATCTCAGTCTTTTGAAAGAATCCTCCTTTAGTTTTATTTTTTAAATCTAGTGGTTTTTCTTTTTCCTTAGGTCTTAATTATTTCCCCCTTTTTGTTTGTTTTGCTTTTCCTAGTTTAGTGGATCAATGTAATTTAAATTGCTTTTTAAACAAACGTGTAAGGGTATACATTTTCGTTGGCTGCTGTTTGACTTCGTTGCACAAGTTTTAAAATCTATTTTTTAATAGTTTGTATTTTCTAAATTATTTTATTGCATCTTTTGTTCACATTGCTCTTACTATTAATTTTTTATTTTAATTAATTAATTAATTAATTAATTAATTGAGATGGAGTCTTGCTCTGTAGCCCAGGCTGGAGTGCAGTGGCATGATCTTGGCTCACTGCAAGCTCCACCTCGGGGGTTCATGTCATTCTCCTGCCTCAGCCTCCCAAGTAGCTGAGACTACAGCTGCCTGCCACCACATCCGGCCTTTTTTGTATTTTTAGTAGAGATGGGGTTTCACCGTGTTAGCCAGGATGGTCTCGATCTCCTGACCTCATGATCCACCCACCTTGGGCTGTCAAAGTCCTGGAATTACAGGCATGAGCCACTGCACCCAGCCCAAAAGCTTTGTGCTTTTACAGATATTAGACATGTTTCTTGTTTAAGAAAAAAAATCTTAACGAAAACGTAGGAGAATAAGAGAAACATTTTTCCAAAAAAGAGAAATCATTGTGATTATTTTATCTTATTAGAATGTTGGATAATATAGTCTGCTTCATTAATCATCAAGCATGCTATGCATTTTCCATTTTTATAGGATCTGTATCTCAGTTAAGGTAATACTGGTAATTTTTGTACTGTAATCAAAGATGAAAAATATAGGCCAAAATCATAGACCTTGCATAGAAGCTGGATAATGAAGACAGCTATGGAGAAAAACATAGATACACACATATGGACACACATATATATAAAGTATACACACATATATTTTTTAAAGTTTTAAAGCTTTTAAAGCAAAAGCCAGCCCCTCTTCTCTTCCAGAGTGGGAGGCCTCTCCCCTCTCTTAGAGTGGGTGGGGAGAGCGGTTGCCACGGGCAGCTTTCCTTGTGAGCCACAGGGCCCTCTGGACACGCTGCTGTCTGGCCACGCCCCCTTTCCCTTTCATCTTTCTCATTGACCAATGGGCTTGGAGCATTAAGGCCACGCCCCTATTCCGCATTCTACTGGGGCCCTGGTTACGCCTCCTCTGGCTCAGTCACACAGCTGCCTGGTAGGTGACTGGAGGCCTTGATCGGTTCTTATTGGGATTTTGCTGCTGTGGCCCCAACCCTTCCTCCCTCCCCACCCTGCAATGGCAGAAGAAACTCAACACAACAAATTGGCTGCAGCCAAGAAAAAGGTAAAAACGCACTAGGTCATAGCCCCTCAACCCAGCCACAGATCCCCTCTGATGACAAGACCCCTGCCAGAGTCTATATGACTCCTGAGGCACACTGGACTGGTCCCCCCAACCCCGGTGCCTTGGGCTACCCCCACCAAAGTTTTGTCAGTCAGCCCCACCCCTTCAGCAAGCAGCCCAGTCCTTGCCCTCGCCAATCACCCCAGGGTGACTTTGGGTGGGTGACTCCTGGGGCTTCCCGCTCCATTACTGGGCCCTCATCTCCTGCCGCCCCAAGCTTGATCTCCGTGGGCTCTTTGGGCTCTCATCTCCAAGGAGCCAGGCCCCACCCTCGCCAGTCATCCTTGGGTGACTTTGGGCTGGTGACTCCTGGGACTCCCTGCTGCAGACTGTGCCCTCCCCTCCTGCTGCCTCAAGGTCGACCTCCCTGGGTTCTTTGTGCTGGCGTCTCCAAGGAGCTGGGTCCCAACCCTGTGCTTCCCTCCCCCATCGTGGAGCAGCGACTTGGACATGGTGCTGACATGGTCCCTCCCCCCGACCAGGAGGAGTGGAATGTTGTGATGTCACAGTCCACCTAGTAACTGCCGTTACTGCAAGACTGGCCTTTGACCTTACGACCCAGTCCCCTAAGCGTTCTCACCCCGTTTCTGGTTCCTCTGGTCACAGCACAAATTTCCAGCTGGAAGGGGAATGGAGACTATGGGACCTAGGAGCAAGAGGTTCCAGGCTGCCTCACTCCCTTACAGATGTTGACGGTGGGAAAAGCCTACACTTCCCCCATGAACTCAAAACATTGACAGTATCTCTGGGTGGCAATGAGAGAATGGGTTTGATTTGGTTTTCTCCCAGGCTTCTACTTTCCAGAGAGATTTTAACATTTTTTTCTGAGTTCTCCACCTCATATTCTAATTCTCCATGGTTCTGGGACCAGACTCTCCTTCAGTCAGTGGTCTCTGAAGTGAGATTTGCTCATCTTCTGTGGAATAGATCTTGGGAAACTGAACTTGACACCTTGAATCTTCCTCATATTATCTCAACCTTGGGTACTTTGAGTGCCACAGGATAAATGTGGGACATCTTTCTGAAGCATCAGTTTCCCTTGATTCTCTTGAGATCAAGAGAAAAAACATGAATGTACTTAGGGAGGACAGTCACATAGGTTTCTAAGAGTATACCAGACCTCTCTCTGAAATGAGGCTTGGGTTGTCCTCTTTCTGATAAATTCTGATTTAAGAGAAAGGCTGCCTTCTGCCATGAGGACACATTGATATAAAAGTTTGAGAGGTACTGGTGCACTTCTTCACACTAACAGACGTGTGAGGATGTATGACTAAACCACATGGCATACAGTTCCTGCCTACTTAATGTTTACTTTTCTACCTCTGCCTCTGGTTTTGGTCCCTGGCAGCTGCTGATTCTTGGCAAAACCTCAGAGCTTGGAGTCAGAAGACTGAGTCTCAAAGTTCCAGTATTGCCTTTTTCTTTTTTTTTTCTAGCCATGATATCAATCCTTCTCAGTCACTAAATGAGTGTGACAACACCTTGTACAGTTGTTGGTGTCATTAAATCAGATGGTGTGTAAGTGTATTTTGTAAAAACTGTAAAGGAGGTTGTGGCTGTAGGGGCTGACGGTTCTCATGAATATTACTGCTCTTCTTTCCAACAGTTAAAAGAATATTGGCAGAAAAACAGACCTAGAGTTCCAGCAGGAGTGAACAGAAACAGGAAAACAAATGGCAGTATCCCTGAGACAGCCACTTCCGGTGGTTGCCAGCCACCTGGGGATGTGAGTCTTGGCTGACCAGGCTTCTGGGGACAGGGGGCCCAAGGGGCAATAGAGGGTAATTCTTAAGATTGTGGATGGACTGCTGGGTACTGGTTAAGAATTCTGGCTTTAGCCGGGTGTGGTGGCCCACGCCTGTAATCCTAGCACATTGGGAGGCCAAGACAGGCGGATCATGAGGTCAGGAGATCGAGACCATCCTGGTTAACACGGTGAAACCCTGTCTCTACTAAAAATACAAAAACATTAGCCACGCGTGGTGGCGTGTGCCTGTAGTCCCAGCTACTCAGAAGGCTGAGGCAAGAGAATGGTGTGAACCTGGGAGGTGGAGCTTGCAGTGGCCAAGATTATGCCACCGCACTCCAGCCTGGTGAAAGAGCAAGACTCTGTCTCAAAAAAAAAAAAAAGGAATTCTGGGTTTGAATCCTGCCTCTCCATCTGCTCTGCTAGGGATATGATTTAGGGCAAGTTGCTAGACCTCATTGGGCCTCTCTTTTCACATCTGTATAATAGAGGTGTTATTGTTTCACTTCCATTTGTGAAGTTTAAATGAGATTTGTTATTGTTGTTTTTATGTTAATCCCTAGTACATGGCCTGCTGTAAACACTCAGGACACCCAGGATATGGTTTGATTTTCCTCATCCCCAGTCTCAAGGGGAAACCAGGACAAAGAGAACAGCCACTTGCCATCAGGAGTCACTGAAGGGGCCCCAGGATGGGATGGTGGGGAGATAAGAACCATGAGAGAAGTTGGCACAAAGGAGTTATGGGACAAAAGGTCCAAGATAGGCAGAAAAGAAAATGTTGCAGTTGATGGGGAAGAAAGGAAGTCAGAGGGCTCAGACACTGTGGGGGACAGAACATCTCCATGTGCACTCTCATCTCTTGTAGTCAGCAACAGGTTTCCACAGGGAAGGCCCTACATCATCTGCTACCCTGAAAGATCTGGAGGTAAGAGGCTCTGGGCGGAGGTGCAGTGACCCTTCGGGTCAACCCTCCAACCTCCTCCTCCAGGTGGGACTGGGTGCCCCTCTGCCAGCTGAGACAGCCCACACACCCCAGCCCTAACGATCGTTCTCTCTACCTCTCTCCCCACTCCTGCTCCACCTCCTCCTCTCTGCATGCACCTCAGAGCCCGTGCCAAGAACGAGCAGTAGTCCTGGATTCAACGTCCGTAAAAATCAGTCGACTGAAGAACACCATCAAATCTTTGGTAAGAGTCCGGTGGGGTCCCCTGATTCCACGCTGCCAATCCTGGGCTCCAGTTTCCCCTTGGGGCCCTGAAGAAAGGGGCTGGGGGTCCCTGGTGCCCGGGACAAATAGGGAGCTTGGGTGCCCAGGCCTCACCTGGAGGGACCCCAGAGCATGCAGCATGGCTCTTCTTTTGCTGCCCTCTTTGCCGACTCTCTCCTCTCCAGACACCCCTGCTCGAGTCCTTGCTACACACGCCCTGGGGTTGTTGCCTCTTGGGGAAGTGCTAGCCTGACTGGTTGTCAAGGTCCCCGTATTTCTGCCATGACTCAGTCCCTAATTTGCTCTTTGATTCTGGACAAGCCACCTCTCCTTTTTGGGCTCGTGTTTCCAGAGGAGGTAGTGAGTATCAAAGGTCTCTGTTAGCTCTCGAGTCTGAGATTTAAAGGCCCCCTAGAACGGAAACCTCAGGGCTAAGGGCTCCTGTCTGTCCTTTTCCATCCTATATCTGCTGTGAAGAACCGTACCTGGCCCATACGTGCTCAGTAAGTGTTTATTGAATGAACCCACTTTTCTAAATCACAAGCTGCCAGAAGGAGGGGCCTTTCTGAAACTCCATCTCTAGAGGTTTATGTTGCTGTCCTCTCAAGAGATTCCAGATTCAGACTGAGTTCTGTGGCTGTGGGCAAAAGCCAACAAAGACCCAAATCCTCTGTCCTTGGGAGCTTGAGGAGAGTTTACCGGTTCGTGTTCCCATTATGTCTGAGAACTTTGCCTTTAAAATCCATTCCTGGCCCCTGCCTACCGCTTCCTGATCTGGGGAATAGAGTTGAGGGGGCCACCCTCCATCACCTTATTTGACTCTCCCCACAGAAACAACAGAAGAAACAAGTGGAACATCAGCTGGAAGAAGTAACGTGATTTCGTTTCCTCGCAACATGACTGCTGGGTTTGGGGGGCACTCAGACATACAGGCCCCAGTCTCGTCTCACCCACTCCCAGCCTGGGGAAGAAGGCTCACCCCTCAGATTCCACCCCATCCCCACAGGGCCCCTGATAACCTGGTCCCATGGGTGGGCCTGTCCTGGGGCATTGGTGGCATTCTGGGGGCATGTCTCTTGCTGTGCCATCTCTGCCTCCCCCTGGTAAGAGCTCTGTCTTCCTCTTCCTACAGGAAAAGAAAGCAAACAACGAGAGACAGAAAGCCGAAAGGGAGCTAGAGGTGAGTGGAGGGTGTGCAGTTTCCTCCTGTCCTCCGGAGAATGTTTCTTTCCTTCTCTTTCAGCACTTGCTTGGCTTTTCTCCCAAAGGTTCAAATCCAGACATTGATCATACAGAAAGAGGAACTAAATACGGACCTGTACCACATGGAACGTTCTCTCAGATACTTTGAAGGTGGGAATCTGGGCACCCTGTCATCCTTCAACCTGGCACTTTGACAGGTCTTCAGGGGGAGTCCTTTGGGCCCCATCTCAACTCTCTCATTACAGAAGAGTCCAAGGACCTGGCTGTCCGCCTGCAACATTCATTGCAGTGTAAAGGAGAGTTAGAGAGGGCTCTGTCTGCTGTCATCGCCACAGAGAAGAAGAAGGCAAACCAGGTGAGTCCAGCCACCTGCCCCATCCCCTGGGAGCCTGGTTTTGCAGATGGAGGAGTGAGCCTAAAGGTCCCTTCTGCAGGATGGCGTGTCCTGCCCAGAAGGCAGCATGGCCATTTCTTGCTACTTTTTTGTATGGTTTTTAGTGGCAGCCTGGGGCCGAGTCAGCTGCTGTGGGTGAGTTGGGGGGTACTGTGGGGAGTGAGCACTGGACGCAGAGCTTGGAGGCCAAGTGCCTGCCCCGCCCTTACCTGGCTGTGGTCTTGGGCAAGTCCTAGGTGGGGTATTGGGTACTTGTACTGTGAAGGTACAGAAGAGTACCTTTAGTATGTTACCATTTCTGTAGAAAGAGGAAACGCGTGCATGTGTGTGTGTGTGTGTGTGTGTGTGTGTACATACTGTGATAATATACATAAAACATGTCTGCAAGGGTTCATAAAAAATTCAGGAGAGAGAACAAGATGGCTGGGAGATACTTCCCTTCTGTACCTTCTGAGTTTTGGACTATGTGAATGTATCATCCTGTCAAAAAGTGAACAAAAGATTAATTTTCCCCTTCCTATCTGTGCCCCCATCCCCAGCAAGAAAAATGGGCTTAGAGAATTGGATAGACCTGGGTGTTTATATCCCAGCTCTGCCTAAGTGAACTTAGGCAAGCACTTAACCTCAAATACTCCATGTTTTTTCATCTCCACAATAGAGGGAATCATAGTAACTGTCTCCTATGGTGGTTGCGAGGATTAAATGGGATTGTTAGCACGGTACCTGGTGAAGCATTCCACAAAGGTTCAAACAGTGGTAATAATGACAATAATAACAATAGCAATATTATCTGATCTCTCTGGGCCTCTGTTAGCCAGCTATAAACTCAGTCTCATTCCCTGTCCGTTCCAACTTTACTGTGTTCTTTTAAAAACCAGACCACGGGCTGGGAAATGCCTTGATCTTTACTGACCGAGTTGTATATTGGGCCTAGCCCTAGCCCTGTTAAGGGGCACTGTGTGGAAATGCCCAGGCTCTCCAGATTGAAACTTCTAACTCTTCACCATCCAGTTGTCCAGCTGCAGCAAAGCACATACAGAGTGGGAGTTAGAGCAGTCCCTACAGGACCAGGCACTGCTGAAAGCGCAGCTGACACAGGTGAGGTTTTCCGAGGGAGGGATGTGGAAGGACGATGACCCCAGGTGGCCAGGAGCAGGTGAGGACCAGTGACAGCCCTTCCTAACTTCTGTGCCCATTCTTGCAGTTGAAGGAGTCATTTCAACAACTCCAATTAGAAAGAGATGAGTGTGCTGAACATATAGAAGGAGAGAGGGCCCGGTGGCATCAGAGGATGAGTAAAATGTTGCAGGAGGTGAGATCTGACCCTTCAGCCCCCCCACATTAGATAGGGCACTGGATCTTTCTGGGCATCTGTAAAATGGGAATAGTAGAGCCAGAGGTGGTCATGGGTCTGGGCTTTGTGGAGGTGGGGGCAGAGAGGGAGAGGGCAGCCTGTCCAGCCTCCAGCCCCTCTCTCCAAGGCCCTTTCCCCTTGTGCTTTGGGCAGATTTGCACATTAAAGAAAGAGAAGCAGCAAGATATGCGTCGGGTAGAGGAGCTGGAGAGGAGCTTGTCCAAACTCAAAAACCAGATGGGTAAGATGGGGCTGGCATGACCTGGGAGCAGGACTGGCATCAGAGGGCTGTGAGGGTGGCTTAGAGTGCCCCAGGGAGGTGGGTGGATGGAAGGGCTTTGAGGCAGAGGGAAAGAGATCTGTGCCAGGAGACGGCGAGTCTTGTCATCTCAATGAGTCTCAGTGTCTCAGTGTCCCCATCAGCAAAGAGGGCCCGTTGCCAGCCACCCACAGTGCTCTTTCTCTGAAAGTCCTTTGGAAGACTGGCTACCATCTGGGTGCGAGGAATCATTAGCAGTGAGGCCAAGTTTGAGGAGCCTGAGAGGAGCTGTGCGCCAAGAGGAGGGTTTTTCTTTTCCGAGAATCCAGAGGCCCTTATTATCTGCTTCCTTTCTCAGCTGAACCCTTGCCCCCGGAGCCCCCAGCAGTGCCCTCTGAGGTGGAGCTGCAGCACCTGAGGAAGGAACTAGAGAGAGTGGCAGGAGAGCTCCAGTCCCAGGTCAAAAACAATCAGCACATAAGTCTCCTGAACCGGCGACAAGAAGAGAGGATTCGGGAACAGGAAGAGAGGCTTCGGAAGCAGGAGGAGAGGCTTCAGGAGCAGCACGAGAAGCTTCGGCAGCTGGCCAAGCCACAGAGCGTCTTCGAGGAGCTGGTGCGTTGCCCCAACTGGGGAGCCTGCCCTCCTCCCTAGCCCTCCGGGCCTTTGTTTCCCCACCTCTAAAATGGGGCAGTGTAGCCCTCGCGTGAAAGGTTACTTCTAAAGGCACCTGTGAGCCAGGTGGCTGTGGGAGAGAGGGGGTGATTTTTCTAACCTGCCTCCAGCCTTCCCAGTGCCATGGGAGGCAGACACCAAGTTCTGGGGTCTCCAGCTGCAGTGGGTGGCTGCTGATTGTTTCTCTCTGTCCAGAACAATGAGAACAAGAGCACACTGCAGTTGGAGCAGCAAGTAAAGGAGCTACAGGAGAAGCTTGGCGAGGTGAAGGAGACGGAAACCTCCACCCCATCCAAGAAGGGCTGGGAGGCGGGCAGCAGCCTCTTGGGAGGGGAGGTGCCAGGTCAGAGGCAGCTTCCAGCCTGGGGGCTGGTGACCACAGCACCCCGCAGGGCAGTCCTGCGACTGTTTCTCGCTTCCTGCCTCTGACTTTTAAAGGTGGGTAGCCCTGGGCTCCTCTCAGGTCTGGACATCATCATCCCAGCTAGAGGCATGGAGCCCCCAATCACAGGGGAAGAGACAGTGCTATAACAGGCTCCTTATACCAGGTGCAGTGGCTCATGCCTATAATCCCAGCACTTTGGGAGGCTGAGGCAGAAGAATCACTTGAGGTCGGGAGTTTGAGATCAACCTGGCCAATGTGGTAAAACCTCATCTCTACTAAAATTAAAAAAAAAAAAAATTAGCAGGGCATTGTGGCGCATGCCTGTAATTCCACCTACTCGGGAGGCTGAGGCACGAGAATTGCTTCAACCCAGGAGGTGGAGGTTGCAGTGAGCTGAGATTGCACCACTGCACTCCAGCCTGGGCCACAGAGTGACACTCTTGTCTGAAAACAAAACAAAAAGACTCCTTAGATTGAAACTGGATTCCAGCCTCGGTTCCACTGGTCACCATTCAAGTACTTTGCATCTCTAAGTCTCTGTTTCTTTAACTTCAAAGGGAAGTTAGCATTTTCCTTACAGAGGTGCTGAGGATTAAATGAGAAGAGGGTATGAGATTTGAGGCTGGGGAAGGAGGCATGGGGTTCTAGGAAAGGGAGGCAGTCACTTAGGCCTGGAGTAAGGGGACAGGGGCCTGGGTAGCTGACAGAGCCCCACAGTGCCCTCGCTACCCTATTAATGGGCCCAGAATCTGGAAACCAGCCACCACGTGCCCTCACACCCAGGGTCTTCCTGCAGGTGTAGCTGAAGAGCCAAGAGGTTCAGAGTCTGCAGCAGCAGCCAGACCATTACCTGGGTCACCTGCAGCAGTACGTGGCCACCTATCAGCAGCAGGTGGCCGCCTATCAGCAGCTGACCTGTGAGAAGGAGGCGCTGTACAGGCAGTGACTGCAACAGACCCAGCTAATGAACCAGCTGCAGCAGTAGAAAGCTTGGGGCAAAGCAGTGGCCGAGATGGCCTGCCAAAAGTTGCAGGAGACCCAGGGGAGGGAGCTGCCGAGGATGGGGCTGTGAGGGGGACGACCTGGCAAACTCCATCCCTTCTCACTCTTTCCTGGCCCCTTAGGAGCACCTGGAAGCGGCCAGCCAGCAGAACCAGCAGCTAACGGCCCAGCTGAACCTCATGGCTCTCCCTGGGGAAGGTACGGGAGACCGCTCAGAGGAAGAGGAGAGAGCCCCAGGAGGAAGGGGGGACTGCTAGCAGCATAGGATTGAGGAGTTGGAAGAGACCTTTAGAGCAGCTGGTCATTATGCCGACCGGGTGCCTGCACTAAGTTCGGCATCAGTGTGGTGACCTCCTGTGAGCGGGCAGTCACCAAGTTGCCTAAGGGTGGCTGAACTGGCCAAGGTCAGAAAGGGAGCAGGTCAGAACTCCCACATCGACCAGTAGTGGGAGTGTGCCTGGGCGGAATAGCAAGATCTTGATTCTTAAAAGTAAAAATAAAGAACAACAGCTCATTCCTCTCTGGGGAGGGGCTGGCTCAGGGTTACACAGTGAGGGTGGAGGTAGAGGTGGGCCCACAGTACCTCCCTTGTTGGGTTGTCTGAAGACCCCTCTGGCCACCCCCCACAGGACACGGAGGAGAACATCTGGACAGTGAGGGGGAGGAGGCACCTCAGCCCATGCCGAGTGTCCCAGAGGACCCGGAGAGCAGGGAGGCCATGGTGAGCCTGACTCCCCCCTGCACCCATTTTGCCACCTTTCTCTGTGGTCCCTCCAAGACCCCTTTATGCTCTTCGTTTCCCTGCCTTCTGATTTCTCTGGACCCTCACCCCTTCTGAGAGCCAGTGGTCAGACACCATTTCACCTGTGGCCAACAGGTGCACTCTCTGAGGCCCCAAGGGAAGGGGCTGCGCTCCACCTCTCTGCCCCATTTCTTCTGTGTATGCCCCTAGAAGAATGCTCACATCTTGCCCTCAGGTGGCATTTTTCAAGTCCGCTGGAGCTAGTGCCCAGGAGAAGCAGGCACAGTTACAAGAGCAGGTGAAAGAGCAGAGGGTGTGCTGCCAGCGCCTGGCTCACCCGGTGGCCTCGGCCCAGAAGGAGCCAGAGGCAGCCAGAGGCCCTGGAGCCCCAGGGCCTGGGGGCGAGTCTGTGAGTGGGGAGACCCACTGGGCCCTGCAGGAAGTCACGGAGAAGCTGGCCCATGCCAGGACTCACCTCCACCTTCTCCATGACTTGAAAATGCCACCTGAGGGCAGGTCGCTGCCGAGATGTGACTGCAATATTTTGGCTCCAGAGCAGCTTTATGGACCACCTGAAGGAGAAGGCAGACCTGAGTGAGCTGGTGAAAAAACAAGAACTTCGCTTCATTCAATACTGGCAAGAGAGATGCCATCAGTGAGTGGGAGGCCAGGGCACGGCAGGGGGAGCTACAGGGCCATCAGAGGGGCCCCAGAATCTGAGCCCTGTCCTCCCGCAGGAAAATCCATCACCTTTTATCAGAACCAGGGGGCCGTGCCAAAGATGCAGCACTGGGAGGAGGACACCATCAGGCTGGAGCTCAGGGAGGAGATGAAGGTAGGGTGTGCAACATCTCTGTGGGGGTGGGGGTGGGGGTGGGTGTGAGGGTGGGCGCAGGCAGCGGCATGGCAGCTGAGCACCCCTCCCTCCAGGTGAAGCTGCTGGAGCTGCAGCAGATGGTATTGCGGCTTACAGCAACTACAACAATGGGCACAGAAAATTCCTGGCCGCTGCCCACAACTCTGCTGATGAGCCCGGTCCAGGAGCCCCAGCCCCCCAGGAGCTTGGGGCTGCAGACAAGCATGGTGGTGTGTAGAGCCCTCAGGTGGGGTGGGTAGGCAGGAAGAGGGGGGCTCCCACTGTGCTCAGATCCCCGCCTCCCTCTCTCCAAAGATCTTCGTGAGGTGACCCTCACCTCCTCTGCCCAAGGAGAGGCCAGGGAGGATCCTCTCCTTGACAAGCCTACTGCACAGCCGATCGTGCAGGACCACCAGGAGCACCCAGGCTTGGGCAGCAACTGCTGTGTGCCATTATTTTGTTGGGCTTGGCTGCCAAGAAGAAGGAGATAAACATCACCATCATCAAACAGCTGCTCAAGAAATTTTTAAATAAGAAACCAAGTTATGGGGTTAATCTCCTACACAATTCATTTACTTCCTTTGAATGTTAGACTCACTCATGATTATTTGTGTTTCTAATTTATAGTTTAAGTTTATTTGTAAAAAGTTAAAAGAGAGTGGGTGTCTGTGGCTCTCACTGATGTTCACTCTGGCATCCTTTAGCATTTTTCTTTTTTAATTTCATAATTGTAGGTCATTAGCGTGCATATCGAGTTTGCCCTTACGTGGTGGGAGTTCAAACACACAAAGACCCACTCTTTGCCCAAAACTGTTCTCTTTGGTTTGGAATAGGCTGCCATGCTTTTTTAATGTTATTGCAGCATGTATATTCACTACAGCATTCAGACAAAATTTGCCTATGTTCTGCTGTTGTTTGATGTAATCTTAATCACAGTGAGCTCTTCCTTAGCTCAATATGTAGTTTGCCCCCAAGTGTGCACTGTTTATTACTTTGTAATACGCCACTATGAGTACTGACATTTAGAGTTGTTTAAAGGCCAAGAATTGGAAACAGCCTTTCCTCCATTTTCTGTGTATTGGTGATGGGAGTGATAACCTTTTGGGGGAGCTTTTTAAATCTCACAGAAGAGGAAAGTGGCCTCCTCTGGCAGGTATGTGCAAGATAGAGTGTGTTTCATCTCTTCCGGTGCCAGGAATTAGCGGTGTATTATGGTGGTGCCCTTAGGATTTGTATGTGCTCTGGGCTCATGAAGATATTGCATCATGAGCTGCAGCAGTTGCACTCTTTTTCGATGACCTAAAAAGGGCTTATTTCTGAGGAATGAAAGGTTCCCATCGTTGACTGTAGATGTGGAAAACCTTTCCTAGCTTAGAGCATTTGTATCTACAATACATTTTAAAGTCAGAGTTCATGTTACCTGTTTTAATCACATGACTACATGCCCCAGTACACAAAAGGGCACTGGTTGGCATTCTTCTTAATGTATTTAGTGAAGATCATAAGAAATCCTTTACGAGTTCAAATGTCCCTGGAACAGGCATATAGGCTCTAGTCAAGAATGAATTAGAGTGAAGGAAAGCTGTGTGACTCCTGGCATTCCTCTCTGTTCACGGAGATTCTTTGAGGCTTGAAGATTGATTTTACCATCTAGACCTCTTTGGCTAATACCTATTCTTCAACCACCTTGGTTACTCTGACATAGGAATTTACTTCTTTTTCTTTGAATGGAAAACACTTTAAAAAAATAGAAACATTCTTATAAACTAATATATGTGAGATAGTTGAAACAAAAAGGAGTTTTAGTAGATGGTATTATACTATCTTTGAAAATCAAGGAGAAGTTTATGAAACTTAAAATGTGTACAAACTGCAGTGCAATCTACTGTTGTTCGTGAATGTCAATGTATTATCAGGAAACGTGTCTATACAACCACAGAGTTATATTTTCTCACAAACTTCTTTACAAAGTGAAATATGTTTTTGTACCTCTGGGTTTCTGTTCGGGACATATTTTGTGCAATATTTATGTGATTGTGCCTATGCATGATGAATGAATGCATTTCAGTTATGTATTGCCTAAATCGTAACTTGATGATGCTTGGGAAAGACTCAACAGTTCAAACTTCATGAAGTTCTAATGTCTGTGTTCCAAAACACATCACATTGTTAGGATGCAGGGAGATAGGTGTGTGTGCTCCCTGCGGTGGGGATTTCTAGTTACTAGATCATCTCCATTTTTAGCATTTGGCATCCTCATGATACTTCTATAAATATGACATTAACAGGAGAGCAACAATACGATTTTACCGATGGAATAACAGATTTGCTGGCATTCACTGAAAGAGTGCAAATATTCGGTCCTTGTGACTTCCACTGACTCTTCCAAATTTTATGAATGTATCAATGTATTAGATAAACCCAGTTTCAGAATGATAAAGAAAAAATCTTAGACCAAATAATGCGGCTAATTAACAGTGGTACGATTTGTAGCCCGTGGGTTTAAAATGCACTTAAAGTCCTGTTCTCGCCTTTTATTTTCTGAACTTGCCGCTTTTGCATTCTTTGAGTTCAGTTTAAAGACAGTTACTTTAAGAGCATTTTAAACCCTCGGGCTAGAAATCGGACCACTGTTAATCAGCCACATTATTTGGTCTAACGTTTTTTCTTTTATCATTCTGAAACTGGGTTTATCTAATACATTGATAAATTATTGCAAAGGTACTTTTATCGTTGAAATCACTTCACTTTTACCCTGATAAATATCAGTGACTAGGAATGACCTTCGGATAGCGTTTAGCATCTGTAACCAATCTGACAATAATGTGTTCATGAGGTGCCTATGGATTAAATCACACACTGGCATATTTAAGCTGAAGGTCAGTCTGGAAAATAAATTTACTATATTGACTGAAATACCACTCTTTGTGTAGGTATTTGTCATATATTTAAGAAAAAGCTAAAAAGAATGGAAATTGTATGACAATAACTCAAGTCTTTCTCCAAAGTGCATGCAGTCTTTTGCGATACCTCATTCAGCCGAGTATTTGTGCTCTTCCTCATTCAGTATAAGGCAGCTTTCAGTTTGCTTAGAAGGCAACATTGGAATGTTAGAGTTCATCAGAAACATAGAATTTTAAACTGTGAGTTCCACTGAATACATTTTGATTTCTGTAGGAAGAATCAAAATACCTATTTAAAGATGGCAATGTATAATAATCATTTTAAAAGTATTTGATTAAACCTGATAATTTTCCAGAAATGAAAAAAAAAATCAGCTCTAAAACCAAAGCTGATTTTAGAAAATTTGAAAATGTAAATCAGCCCTATCCATAATATAGTTTCTCTAAAACTTTATTTTAAAGAGTCATTTTAAAATAATATAACTATTAAAAAATGTAACTGCTATCTTAATGTTCTGAAATAATTTAAAACATTTTAAAATATGAATACTGTAGTATAAAAGAAAGAAATGGTGGGAACGAAAAGCAGAGAAAGAAATGCCAATTCCAGTCCAAAGTTTTATTTGCCAAGTTTTCTTAGAATGAATTTTACCAGTTTATGAATTATTGTAAAGAGAATGTGTCGTGGAAATACTGAAAGATTTTTCCCTAGAGTGGCCTTATTGACTGCTGGTGTGATGCCACTGTAATGTAATAAATTATTAAGTTGTTTCAATGTGTTGTTTTTGTCTTAAAATTTTATTTTGCGTTTCTTGAAAACTATAGTATTAAAGGTATTGATACTGTGCAAATGCTGGGCATGCTTGGCATGAGATAATGTGTTTCATTTTTACAAAGTTGTGATATAACTATGCAAGTGTTTCTTTAAAGAACACAAGATTTTAAAAGTTATGGGATTAAAAAAGTTATGGGGTGAAAAAGTTATGGGATAAAAAATGTAAAAACGTTGTGGCAAAAAAACTTGTGGGAACAAAGTAGAAAACAGTATTATGAAAAGTTACAAAAAAAGTTATGAAAAAGAAGTTACGGGATTCTTTTTTAAAAAGTCATGGAATAAAAATAAAAATTAAAAGCAGGCCCCTGTCAGCAAAGCCTGGAGAAGTGGGGCCGGAGTCTCCACCGCCACCATGTCCCTACCACCCCTTCCCAGGCAGCCCTTTACAATTAGGGTAGCAGGACAAGACCTCTGTCTAATGGGGAAAGACAAACAGACCCTTTGCCACCCTGACCAGGGCTGAGTCCCTAAATTTCTGGATGATGATGATTGTTATTTAAGAGCCAGAGGCTGGTGGAGTTGGTTTGTTTGGAGGAGGCCTGATGCCCCCCTTACTCTCACCATAGCAACTTTTCCCTCAGGGGGGCTCCCTTCTTATTCAGAGAGGCAGGACAGTGGGGCTAACTGTGGACCAGGCGAGGGCACGGGCTGCTGGGGTGGCCCCCGTTCCCCGGTGTACACATTGTGTCTGTGTAAGGTTTTGTATATTCCAGAGGGTAGGGCCACCCCTGTGTCATACCTAGCTGAGGTTGGAGCTGGCACATGGGGAGGAGGTTGTAATAATTATTTGTGGCTGGGAAACTTATTTATTGCTAGCATAGGACAGAGGAAGGAGGTGGGGATGGGGTCATGGCTCCCTGGTGATGCGACTCCTGTTTATTTTGCTTTTTATTTTGGAATAAATGGATTTAGCCATACTGCTCGGCCTGGTGTGTTTCCGTTTCCCTCACTGGGTCCTGGAGTTTGTGCCACCAAACAAGGAGTCCCAGAGTGTCTTGAGCATGTCCAGCTAGGCTGTTGGGGACCTTCCAGGCGTGTTACCTGTATGCTGCCTGGTGGCGCCTGGGGGATTCCAAGGGGACTGCCATGTAGTCTATGGGGCGCAGTCTGGCCCTGACAGCCAACAGGCTCAGAAGCCTGATCTAGCGGTGGCCGGGAAGACAGGTACCAGCACCTAAGGGCACTGACTTCCACCCAGCCCCGGCATCTTCCGTTCTATCCCCTTGTCTCCCTCTCCTGTCTGCACCTGGTGGCCTGTTCTGTCTGTGCCTCCAGAGTGCCGGCTGCCCTGCAGGCTCCCTCTGGGCTGAGTTCATGGCCCTGCCCCCTGGTGGCCAGAGCCGGCTTCACAGGATAAGAGCCCGCTAAGCTCCAGGGGCTTTCCAGGAAGTGTCCCTTGGAAAGGGCATGGCCTTTTCACTGCTCCCAACAGCACCCTAGAAATGGCTTGGCCTTTCCCCTCCCCTGAGCTCCACAGAGAACACAGCCAGCAGAGGACACACTTCCCCGCCATCCAGAAGGGGGTTTGATTCTCAGCCAAGGGACAGCAGGACTGGTAGAGACTGTCAGGCCACTCAGCTGCCTGCACAGCACTCCCATGCTTGGTGGAGGCGGGGGGGGGCGGGAGGGATGGCGGGGTGTGTCTCTCCATAGGCTGGGCGTGACAGGGAGGCTCACTGAAGGTAGCGCACTTTGGAGGGGCAATGTCAGGGGTTAGCTTTCTCTTGTTTGGCCACAAGACTCCAAAAGGACAGCACGGTGACTGATTCCCAGCGCTAGAGGCGAGGCGGTTGGCCACATGTAGGTGTATGTGTGTGTGTGTGTGTGTGTGTGTGTGTGTGTATATGTATATGGGTATTTGTAGATATTTCTAGAACAGGGCAGGGGCATACCACAGAGGGGGGCACAAGTTTTCAGCAACGGTCACACCTGGATGTGTCAGCTCACCGCAACAATAGACTAAGTCACAGATGAAGGGGGGCTGGCTTTGGGGCTGGGGGAGCCACTGCCAAGTCACAGAACAGCCGCCCAGGCAGGCTTGGAAAGGGAAGTCTCTGAGAAGAGGAGGAATCTGTTTAGAGTTCAAAGGGGGGCCTGGGGCTCTCAGGATGGGATGGACTTGCCTGAGCCGATTGGCTGGCAGTTGGAGAGAAAGCAGAGAGAAGACAGGAGAGAGAAAAGCGAGCATATCATCTCACACCAGTTAGAATGGCAATCATTAAAAGTCAGGAAACAACAGGTGCTGGAGAGGATGTGGAGAAATCGGAACACTTTTACACTGTTGGTGGGACTGTAAACTAGTTCAACCATTGTGGAAGTCAGTGTGGCGATTCCTCAGGGATCTAGAACTAGAAATACCATTTGACCCAGCCATCCCATTACTGGGTATGTACCCAAAGGACTATAAATCATGCTGCTATAAAGACACATGCACACGTATGTTTATTGCGGCATTATTCACAATAGCAAAGACTTGGAACCAACCCAAATGTCCAACAATGATAGACTGGATTAAGAAAATGTGGCACATATACACCATGGAATACTATGCAGCCATAAAAAATGATGAGTTCATGTCCTTTGCAGGGACATGGATGAAATTGGAAATCATCATTCTCAGTTAACTATCGCAAGAACAAAAAACCAAACACCGCATATTCTCACTCATAGGTGGGAATTGAACAATGAGAACACATGGACACAGGAAGGGGAACATCACACTCTGGGGACTGTTGTGGGGTGGGGGGAGGGGGGAGGGATAGCATTGGGAGATATACCCAATGCTAGATGACGATTTAGTGGGTGCAGCGCACCAGCATGGCACATGTATACATATGTAACTAACCTGCACATTGTCACATGTACCCTAAAACTTAAAGCATAATAATAATAATAAAAAAAAAAAGCGAGCAGAGAGCTGGTGAGGCAAGTGCAGAGCACAGGTGTGCCACAGCAGCTGTGGGAGGGCCAAGGAGTAAAGGGTGCACGTGCGGGTGTGGCAAGGTTCCTGGAAAAGAGGGGCTGGAAGGGAAAGGGGAGGAAGACAGAGGGAGGAGCCGGAGTTTCACAGGTAGTGCCTGGGGGCTGTGGCAGCCCTCCCCACCCCACACGTGCTGGCCTCTTCCACGGCACCCAGTGCACCCACTGTTAAGACTGATGCTCAGCCCCTTTGGGCTTCCCTCTTCTCTGGTCACCGTGTCTTCCAACCCACTTGTCCAGGGCCGCCTCTCGCCTTGGGGAGCCCAAAACAACAGCCACCAGGCCTGATAGAGAAGAAACACTGCTTGAACCAGGATGATGAAGCTAAAAGGGATGGATGGGTGGAGTGATCGCCGGAGCCCCCTCTGGGGGGTCAGAAAGCCCAGGAACCCTTGAAGGGTCCCTGGGGGAGGAAAGGAGGGCATGCAGCTGGATGCCACTGGCTATAGACTTATAAGTCTAAGAGGGGAGCCTCAGCTTGTTGGGGGTTGCAGGTCGGATAGGTGAGGCTGGGCCCTTCCTGCTGGGAAAAGCAGAAGAGGGAGAGTCTATGGCAGGGGAGGTGGGTGGGCTTGTGGGGCGGAGGTCAGCTGGGCCAGCAGGCACTGTGGTCCCCTTGGCTGAATAGCAGAGGTGACCTCTAGGAGCAACACTCCAAGGTGCGTGAGCCTG
The DNA here is from genome assembly GCF_000001405.40 of Homo sapiens. Lineage (NCBI taxonomy): Eukaryota > Metazoa > Chordata > Mammalia > Primates > Hominidae > Homo > Homo sapiens. The sequence continues at coordinate 1,956,703 of NW_012132920.1, read as the reverse complement.
CTGGCCAGCAATAGTGCTTCAGCGGGGGCCAGGGACCCTGCCTTCAGTCACACGCTAGCAGCTATGATGGTACCTGGGAGGGAGGGAAGGGGCCTGTGTTTCCTGCCTGGCCTGTGAGGTGTGTTGTGGGTTGACCGTGTGTATGGGACTCTCAAGGTTTTATCCTATCTCACCACTGCATTGCCGACAGATAGAGGAGGTGGGACTCTGACTATCACCCCTGCTCTGCAGTGGATTTGGCTCTCAGCACTCCCAGGCTGGGAGCTGGATGCCCTGCCCTGGCAGCATGACTCAGACTGCCCAACAGGTGCGGTGTGCACAGGAGGACTATCCTAGGACTCTGGCCGCCTCAGAGTACAGCCCCACACACCACCCCCTCTAAGCTCTCAGCCCTTACACCATAAACCATGAGCTCTGTGACGGCTCCAGGGAGCACCCATGTCTACCAGCGTGGGCACGGAGCCTGTTCCAAGAGTCCCCAGGCTCAGCCATGGGGGCTGGGGGGCTTTGGGGCCGTGGGAGCCAGCCTTGGTACCTGCATCCGGCAAGGACGCTCTGCACCTGCAGGCAGGAGTTGTCCACGGGCCCCCATGTGCGTGCTGATGGTGGTCGTGTTGATGTCGCCGATGATGCCGAGTGCCTCCTTCAGCACGTGGTACATGCGCAGCATCTCGTCGCGCCACTGTGCCTGCTCTGCCGACTCTTCCATCAGCGTTTTCTGGTCCCCACGTGAGTACAGGTTGGACAGCAGCTCCGAGAAGATGAACTCCTTGGTCTGAGAGCGGGCAAAGAGGGAAGGAGGTTGGGACCTGATGCCTTTGCTGCCCTGGCCTCCTGCCGGGCCCTGCTGGGACTGTGTGCTGGACTTGGAGCCCTGAGTATGGCTTTTCAGACGCGGCTTCTACACCGCTTAGACTCAAAGATCTGCCTCCCCACCGCCCTTTTCTCACTCAGATAGGGACACTGAGGTCCAAAGGAAAAGTCACCTGTCCAAGGTCACACATCTGGGAGGGGACCCAGGACCTATCATGCCACCAGGACACCGGTCTACTCAGTTTCTTAAAAATGTTTTTTGGAGATAGGATCTTGCTCTGTCGCTAGGCTGGAGGACAGTGGGCGAGATCACCACTCACTGTAGCCTCAACTTCTTGGGCTCAAAGTGATCCTCCAATGTCAGCCTGTCGAGTAGCTAGGACTATAGGTACGTGCCACCACCAAGCCCAGCTATTTTTAAAATTTTAGTGTAGAGATCAGGTCTCACTATGTTGCCCAAGCTGGTCTCGAACTCCTGGGCTCAAGCTATCCTCTTGCCTTGGCCTCCCAAAGTGCTGGGATTACAGACATGGGCCACTGTCCCCAGTCCCACGTTATATTTCTATGAGACAGCTCTGGTCTGGACTGTGCCTCCCTCCCTGGACCTTGGTCCCATAGGGCTGGTCAGCATCTCCCCCAGGCCAACATGGCCACCTGCATCCCCAGTGCTACAGGAGCCCCCTGCCCCTATGAGGCGGTGCATGCACGTTGTTGATCATGACGTGCATGATGGTCTTGGGCATGACACCAACCATGAGGTCCCACACGGTCTTGTTGACAATGGCCATGTAGGAGTCCACAAGGTTCTGGGTGGTTTCCATTTGCCGCTCCAGCTATGGGTCCATGGAGTGCATGAAGCTGTCGGAGCCATTCTCCTCAGCCTTGCTGTCCTGTCATGGAGAACACAGTGGCATCAGGGTGGCCAGGCCATGCAGCCAGGCTCCAGGAATCCCTAGGATCTCAGCACCTCCAAGGGTACCTGGAACATTGAGGCACAGAGAAAAACAACTGGCGTGAACATGCACCGAGCTCCCCACACGCTCTAGACGGTTTCAGGTATCTGCCTCTCAGGACCCCAGACTCCCCTGATTCAGTCTCCTCTTAGTTCTGACTCTAGTGCCCAGAATCTGCCTCAAGTTACCAATCCAGAAATTGGAAAAAAACATCTCCAGGTCCCCTGTTGGAGACCTGGCCAGAGCTTGTGCCAGGCTGCAGACGCCTGGCAGGGGGCAAGAAAGGGGCATACTCACTTTCCCCTTGTCCTGGGAGGCCCATGCACCAACACTGCCACCGCCGCCGCCACCAGGGAACACGGCAAAGTAGACACACACACAGAGGAAAACGGGAAGGGTTGAGTGAACCTGGGACACTGCACCCCAACTTTAATGTGTTGTAGAATTCAGTTAGCTAATATTTTATTGAGGATTTTTGCATCAATATTCATCAGTGATATTGGCCTGTAGTTTTCTTTTTTGGTCTGTGTGTTTGATTTTGTTATCAGGGTAATGCTAGCCCTGTAGAATGAGTTTGCAAGTATTCCCTCCTTCTCTATTTTTGGAATCGTTTGGGTAAGGTTGGTATTAGTTCTTCTTTAAATGTTTGCTAGAATTCAGCAGTGAATCATCAGGTCCCAGGCTTTTCTTTGCTGGGAGACTTTTTATTACCACTTTGATCCCATTATTTGTTATTGGTTTGTTCAGGTTTTGGGTTTCATCATGGTTCAATCTTGGTAGGTTAGATGTGTCTGGAAATTTATCCATTTTTGGTAGGTTTTCCTATTTATTTGCACATAGTTGCTGACCACTAGTGATCCTTTGAGGTTTTTTTTCTTTTCTTTTTTTATATGGAGTCTTGGTCTGTCGCCCAGGCTGGAGTGCAGTGGCGCGCTCTCAGCTCACTGCAAGCTCTGCCTCCCGGTTTCACGCCATTCTCCTCCCTCAGCCTCCCAAGTAGCTGGGACTACAGGCGTCCGCCACCACGCCCTGCTAATTTTTTGTATTTTTTCCGTAGAGACGGGGTTTTACCGTGTTAGCCAGGATAGTCTTATCTCCTGACCTCCTGATCCACCCGCCTTAGCCTCCCAAAGTGGTGGGATTACAGGCGTGAGCCACGCCCCCTTGGGACAGGGACACACACACACACACATAGACACACACACACACACACACACACACACACACACACACACACACACACACAGAGTTGGTGGTTGTGCCGCCCAGTCGCGAGTGTGAGGAAGGGACCAGATCGGTCGGGCAGAAAGGTGCTGGGTCAAGAGAGGAGGGGGCAGCCGGTAGCGCGGGCACGCCGGGTGCGCGCGGGGCGCGCCGGGTTGAGGGGTGAGGGGTGAGGGGTAAGAGGTGAGGGGCGACGAGGACCGGGGCGGGGTAGGGGCAGCCCTTTCCCAGGCGGTAGCGGGGGCAGTGGTGCTGTTGCCCTTTTAAACTGCGGCTTGACGGGAGCCGCGCCTCCTGTCGGTGGAGTCGGTTATAAAGGGAGCAGCCCCGCAGGCCGCCACATAGCTCCCGCCAAGTCCTCGGTGCCCCTTGCCATTTTCCAGCCGCGCTCCCACGAGGGTCACGGCGGCGGGGAGAGGTGGAGCCGCGAGAGCTCGGCCGGGGGCCCCGCCTGGTGGTCGCGGCCATGACAGCGGCTCGGGACAGGCTCCTTTTCCGCGCCCCTCCCGCCGGAGGTGAGGGGAAGATGTCCATGTCCGGGTTCAAGGCCAAACCGAAGTTACTGGCTTCTATCTTCCAGGAGAACCAGGAGCCACAGCCGCGGCTCACGCCCCACCGCAACATTAAGGTGAGTCGCCGGGTGGCGGCCTGGCGGGGCAGGGCGAGGGCGGAAAGCGGGTGCCCAGAGTCCCAGGAGAAAGGGGAAGCTGCCCCAGAGAGGCCGCGGTTCCCCGCCCCTTTCTCCCGCAACTGGCCCGCCCGGCAAGGCAGAGGCTTGGGTGGGAGAAGGCGGAGGGCGCGTCTCTCCAACTCCTAGCGCGGGGCTGGCTTGGGGGCTGCTGGCCCCTCTCGGCCCCTGTCGCTGCGCCTCGAGGTGGGAGCCCGCGGCTGCGGGAGCCCTCTTGGGACCCATGGTCGCCCTCAGTCAGCCCACCTGCTCTAGGGACCGCGACAGGGCGGGGCAGGGCGGCTCCCGCGTTGTTGGAGCCCAGGCGGGGAAGGGGAAAGGCCTTTAAGATTTTCGGTTTTTTGGCCGGGCGTAGTGGCTCACGCCTGTAATCCCAGCATTTTGGGAGGCCAACCGGGCTGATCACTTGAGGTCAGGAGTTGGAGACCAGCCTGGCCAACATGGTGAAACCCGTCTCTACTAAAAAATAGAAAAATTAGCCGGTCGTGTTGGCAGGCGACTTAATCCCAGCTATTTGGGAGGCAGAGGCAGGAGAATCGTTTGAACCCGGGAGGCGGAGGTTACAGTGAGCTGAGATCGAGCCATTGCACTCAAACCTGGGGGAGAAGAGCGAGACTTCTCTCTCTCTCTCTCAAAAAAAAGTTTTCTTTCTTTTTTTCTTTTTGTTGAGACAGAGTCTCACTCACTCTGTCGCCCAGGCTGGAGTGCAGTGGCGCGATCTCGGCTTACTGCAGCCTACCTCTCTTGACAGTCCACTGGTTAAAGCGATTCTCCTGCGTCAGCCTCCCGAGTAGCTGAGATTACAGGCGCCCGCCACCACGCCTGTCTAACTTTTGTGTTTTTAGTAGAGACGGATTTTTTAGTAGAGACGCGGTTTCACCATGTTAGCCAGCATGGTCTTGATCTCCTGACCTCATGATCCACCCGCCTCAGCCTCCCAAAGTGCTGGGATTACAGGCGTCAGCCACCGCGCCCGGCCTCTGTTTTGTTTTATACATGTAATATATTCACAAGTATCTTTACGAAGTGATTTTGATACTCTTTTGTCTTCTCCCTAGAATCTCTTTGTTCTGTAATAATTCTTTCTTAGTTTATATTGATCTTATTTTCCTTTTTAAAGCCTTTCCTTACATATCTATTCTATGTTGCTTATCATTTGTAGTTTTTTTATTTTTTATTTATTTATTTATTTATTTATTTTGAGAGGGAGTCTCGCTCTGTTACCCAGGCTGGAGTGCAGTGGTGCAATCTGGGCTCACTGCAAGCTCCGCCTCCCAGGTTCACGCCATTCTCCTGCCTCAGCCTCCTGAGTAGCTGGGACTACAGGCGCCAGCCACCACGCCCCAACAATTTTTTGTATTTTTTAGTAGAGACGGGGTTTCACCGTGTTAGCCAGGATGGTCTCGATCTCCTGACCTCATGATCTGGCCACCTTGGCCTCCCAAAGTGCTGGGATTACAGGCGTGAGCCACCGTGCCCAGCCCTGATTCTATATTATAGTGAGTTGTACAATTATTTCATTATATGTTACAATGTAATAATAATAGAAATAAAATGCACAATAAATGTAATGTCCTTGAATCATCCCAAAATCATCTCCCCCAACCTTGTCTGTGGAAAAATTGTCTTCTGCAAAACTGGCTCCTGATGCCAAAAAGTTTGGGGACTGCTGGCATAAGTGGTCTCATATAGTAGTTGTCCTTTTGTGCCTGGCTTATTTCACTTAGCATAATGTCTTTAACGTTCATCCATGTTGTAGCATGTGCCAGAATTTCATTTGTTTTTAAGGCTGAATAATATTCCCTTGTATGTATTTAATATGCCTTTTTATCTTTTCCTCTGTTGATGAATACTTGGGTTGCATCCACCTATTGGCTATTGTGAATAGGTTTGCATTGCCTGTCTTTCTCATGATCGCCATCCTATTTCACATCTAGCAGGTGTGAAATTCCATTGATTGAGTGATTGATTGAGACAGGGTCTGACTCTGTCGCCCAGTCTGGAGTGCAGTGGCATGATCTTGGCTCACTGCAACCTCCATCTCCCAGGCTCAAGCAATTCTTCTGCCTCAGCCTTCCGAGTAGCTGGGATTATAGGCATGCACCACTACCAGCTGGCTAATTTTTGTATTTTTAGTAGAGACGGGGTTTCACCATGTTGGCCAGGCTGGTCTCGAACTCCTGACCTGAAATGATCCACCTGTCTCCGCCTCCCAAAGTATTTGGATTACATGTGTGAGCCACTGCGCCCAGCTAGTAGGTGTGAATTTCTATGTCTTAGTGGTTTTGATTTGCATTTACCTGATGGCAAATGATGTTGAGTATCTTTTCATGTGTTTATTGGCCATTTGTCTGTTTTTTTTGGGGAAATACTTATTCCAAAATTTAACTTATTTTTAATTGGGTTATGTATCTCTTTATTATTTAGCTGTAAGAATTTTTTACATATTCTAGATAGGAGTTATAACAACTTTCTTCCTTTTTCTGGATTGTCTTTTTTCTTTCTTGATGGTGTCCTTTGAAGCAGAAAGATTTTAAATTTTGATATAGTCCAATTTATCTTTTTTCATTTGTGTTTTTTTGCTCCTTGTGCTTTTGGTGTAATATCTAAAAAAACGTTGCTACTCCAAGGTCACAAAGGTTTCTGCCTATGTTTTTTTCTATGAGTTTTATAGTTTATCAATATCTCTTATATTGAGCTCTTTTATCCATTTGAATTAATTTTTGCATGCGGCATGAAGTAGGGGGGTATAGCTTCATTGTTTTGCACCTAGACATCCAGTTATCTCAGAACTATCTGTTGAAAAGCTTATTCTTTCCCCATTGAATTGTCTTGGAACGCTTATTGAAGATCAATTGACTGTATATGTGAAAGTTTATTTCTGGATTCTATTCTTTTCTCTGTTCATCTGTCCTTATACCAGTAGCACACTCTTGATTACTGTAGCTGTTTAGTAAGCTTTGAAATCAGAAAGTATGAATCCTCCAGAAAGTTTTTTAAGGTGGGTTTGGCTGTTCTGGGTCACTTGCATTTCCATATGAATTTTAAGATCAGCTTGTCAGTTTCTGCAAAGGAGCCAGCTGGGATTTTAATCACAGTCGCATTGAATATGTAGATCAACTTAGAAAGTACTGCCATTTTAACAATATTAAGTTTTCCTCCACGAACACAGGATGTATTTGTACTTAATTAGGTCTTCCTTTAATTTCTTTCAATCGTAGTTGTGTTGAATGCAGACCTACTTTGAATTAATTCTAAGTAATTTTTATGCTACTTATTGGTTGACAAATATAATTGCTTTTAGTTTTTAACTGTAGTTTTGATGTAATGTGAACTGTATTTGGACCTTGTGAAGCTTATTTCTGCTTTGAAATTTAGTATAAACTGGTTATAATAAAATCTGACTGTGCTAATTTTTTGGTTATGTGAAATAGAAAATCAATGTAAATTTAAAAATTTATTCTGGGCCGGGCGCAGTGGCTCACACCTGTAATCCAAGCACTGTGGGAGGCTGAGGAGGGCAGATCACAAGGTCAGGAGATCAAGACCATCTTGGCTAACACAGTGAAAGCCCATCTGTACTAAAAATACAAAAAATTAGCCGGGTGTGGTGGTGGGCACCTGTAGTCCCAGCTACTTGAGAGGCTGAGGCAGGAGAATGGTGTGAACCTGGGAGGCGGAGGTTGCGGTGAGCTGAGATCGCACCACTGCACTCCAGCCTGGGCGACAGAGTTAGACTCCGTCTCAAAAAAAAAAAAAAAAAAAAATTCATTCTGAAATGCGATAGATGTTGAAGCTCTTCTGGCAGATGGTTATAAAGAGGAATATATAATCATTCTATTGAGAAAATATAATCAATAATGTGAATACCTAAGGTAGTTTATTTTACATATATATCTCGGTATTTATTTATTTTTGAGACAGAGCCTCACTCCTGTCACCCAGGGTGGAGTGGAGTGGCACGATCATGGCTCATTGCAGCCTCAACTTCTTGGGCTTAGGTGCTTATCTCATCTCATCGCAGCCACCTGAGTAGCTGCGACTACAGGTGTGCGCCACCATGCATGGCTAATTTTTTGTATTTTTAGTAGAGGTTTCCCCATGTTGTCCAGGCTGGTCTGAAACTCCTGGACTCAAGTGATCTGCCCGCCTCGGCCTCCCAAAGAGCTGGGATTACAGGTGTGAGCCACTGTGTTGGCCTTATGTTTTATAATTTTTAAATGATACTTTTTATTCTATTACAAAACATATATAATTGTAAAAAACTTGTAAAATATAAAAGAGGACAAAGACAATAGAAAAATTATTTACAATGTAATTCCCAAGTAAACACTGATTACCTTTTTTTTTTTTTTTTAGAGCCTGTTGCTCAGGCTGGAGTGCAGTGGCACCATCATAGTTCACTGTAACCTCATACATCTCATACATTTTGATATTACTACTTCTGGTTTTATACATAATGTGTTCACTTTGAAGCAAGAGAGTATAATTTTATAACGATTATTTTCATTTAATGATCATGATCTCATTGCAATTATTGATCATTTAGTTTATTCCTGAACATTTTGTTTTATATATTTTTGCTATTGTGAGTGGGATATTTGTTATAACTTGGCATTTGTGCCTACACTCAATTTACCTATAGGAAACTAATTTTTGCATACAATTGTTTTAATTGGTGCAGTGGCACAATCTCAACTCACTGCAACCTCCGCCTCCCAGGTTCAGGTGATTCTCCTGCCTCAGCCTCCTGAGTAGCTGGGATTACAGGCACATGCCACCACACCCAGCTAATTTTTGTATTTTTAGTAGAGACAGTGTTTCACCATGTTGGTCAGGCTGGTCTTGAACTCCTGACCTCGTGATCCACCCGCCTCGGCCTCCCAAATTGCTGGGATTACAGGCTTGAGCCACCGTGCCCGGCCTCGGCCTCTTTGTGTGTTTTCGTATATCTTTCATCTGAGTTGCAAGGGGCACCTTGGGTTTCCAGGAATTTTCTTAGCTAACTCTGTTCCTTTATCTATGACCCTTCCTCACTAGTTTTGGATAATTTATTTTCCTTCTTCCTTACTTCACTGATTTACTTTTCTATTTTATTTAGTTTGCTAGTCATTGTTTCTTTTAAGGTTCTTAAGCATAAATCCTTTTTTTTTTTTCTGATGGGAAATACTGGGGCATAGCACTAGGAATACAAATTATGTTTAAATAGAGCACAAAGAACCATCTCAAAGGAATAACTGATGGTGAATGTCTGGTGATTGATTTTATTATGTATCATCTCTAATGAGGCTTAATAAATAATTGAGGTTTAACACTTAGGTAACCGGTCTGTATTTAAGTCTGAAAATTTTTGTATGTTACAGTTTCAACTTCACATTGAATATTCTGTAAAGCAGAAATAAATTGATCAGCATTCTATGAATGAAAAATAAAGCCATGGGTCGGGTGCAGTGGCTCACACCTATAATCCCAGCACTTTGGGAGGCCGAGGCAGGTGGATCACCTGAGGCCAGGAGTTTGAGACCAGCCTGGCCAACATGGTGAAACCTTGTCCCAGCTACTGGAGAGGCTGAGGCAGGAGAATGACTTTAACCCAGGAGACAGAGGTTGTGGTGAGCTGAGATCGCGCCACTGCACTCTAGCCTGGTGACAGAGCAAGACTCTGTCTCAAAAAAAAAAAAAAAAAAAAAAAAAAAAATTAGCTGGGCATGGTGGTGCACACCCGTAATTCCACTACTTGGGAGGCTGAGGCAGGAGAATCACTTGAACCCAGGAGGCAGAGGTTGCAGTGAGCCAGGGTTGCACCACTGCCCTCCAGCCTATGTGACAGACTGAGACTCCATCCCTAAAAAAAAAAAAAAACCAAAAAAAACCATGCTGGTAATCAAAAAAGCAGTTTGCCTCATCAGAGTTTAGAACGTTGAATTGTAAAGATCTTTTTTGTAGTCCTAGCCAGTTTTAATGGTAACATGAGCAATTCAGTTACTTTCTCAGAGTTTTATATTTTTATCTGTAAAATGGAAATTATGGTACCTACAGTTTAGGATTTTTGTGAAAATCAAGTGAGACTGCAAGTGTCTTGAATAGCAGTGGAAGTACATTGATATAGGTGATATTTTACAGTGGTGTCTTCCTCAGCATCATATTAGTTCAGTGTTTTAAAGCTCTATATTAGTCACAGAAACAAAGTCAAATTTTTGTTCTCATTTCAGATTACAAGTGGACACCTGAGTCAGCAGGACCTGGAATCCCAGATGAGAGAGCTTATCTACACGACTCAGATCTTGTTGTCACCCCCATTATTGACAATCCAAAGGTGCAGAAAGCACTCTGACAAGTGAGTTGTAGACTTTACTGAGATCTGAAATCTGCATAAGATTTTCATTCAGAATATTATTTACTGTCTAATCTTTCCTGTTTCTCTTGTCCGCTACTCTTTCATTTGTGCTGCATGTCTGCATTTCCAGCTCCCGCTCTGTCTGCAACCCTTTCCTCTGCCTTCACTTCCGCTTCACTGGAGTTCTAAGTTTTCCCCCCTCTGTTTTGAATGAGTCAGCTCTGCTTCTCACTACTGCTTTCTTCCACATGCCACGGAGGGGTTGCCAGCCTCTTGACCTCAGACCTTAGCTCTCAGTCCCATCGTTTCTCCATCTGCACTAATGTGAATCACTCTAAGTATTCTAGTCTCTGATGTGTTTTGAAGGCAGAAGCAGTCAGAGGGCACTGCTCACCAGGCTGGGCTGGGCAGGCAGATCACACGGAAGCCCTGCCCTGTCACAGGTTGTTAATACTGCAGGGGAGATGGTGGGGAGACACTATGGGAACTTGAGGAGTCATGGTTCACAATGTACTTCTAAACCACTGTGAGTTTTTTTGCTTCTTGTCTTTTGGAATATAATACTTTATTGCTGGGGGATAATGAGTATTTACTTTAAAAAACAGATGCATTTCTAAGTCCCTCTGTTTTGTCTTGACTTCCAGCTCCCCAACATACTCACATTCCACTACTTATTCTCTATTTTAACTTTACTGCTTCTTTTACTTTTTTTTAGTTTTACTTTTATTTTTTATTTTTTTGAGACAGAGTCTTGCTCTGTCACACAGGCTGGAGTGCAATGACGCGATTTTGGCTCACTGCAAGCTCCGCCTCCCAGGTTCATGTCATTCTCCTGCCTCAGCCTCCCAAGTAGCTGGGACTACAGGTGCCCGCCACCACGCCCTGCTAATTTTTTGTATTTTTAGTAGAGACAGGGTTTCACCATGTAAGCCAGGATGGTCTCGATCTCCTGACCTTGTGATCCACCCACCTCGGCCTCTCAAAGTGCTGGGATTACAGGCATGAGCCACCACACCTGGCCTTCTTTTTCTTTTTTAAATATCTTTTTCTGTATTAATTCATGACTGTTTTTTTCTTGTCTCATTGGGAACATTAGTGTGGTTTAGAACAATGTAAGGGTTTTTGGATTCATGTTTATTTTCTAGATAGACAGCATTTTATATAGATGATTTAGCTGTTTTTCATAATGGAGCTAATTCTTTTTGTGAGTTCATATGTCTGGCAGTGTAACTTTATTATGCTAAGTTTGATGTGCATTGGCGCATTTTCAAAATGGGCTTTCTAGAACAATTTGTGATATCTTTCCCAGGGGTGTCCAGTCTTTTGGCTTCCCTGGGCCACACTGGAAGAAGAATTGTCTTGGGCCACACATAAAATACACTAACAATAGCTGATGAACTAAAAAACCAATAAAAAAAAATTGCAAAAAAATTCTTACAATGTTTTAAGAGAGTTTATGAATTTGTGTTGGGCCATATTCAAAGCCGTCTTGGGCCGCATCCAGCCCACGGGCTGCGGGTTGGACAAGCTTGCTTTACACAATATTCTGTGTTTCCTTTTTTCCTCTTATAACCATATTTGATAGTTTATGGGAAGCCTTCATCAGTGGAAATTTTTGTGTTTAACTTTTAATTCTAAACTACTTTTAGAGAAAAGATTAAAAAATAGTTGAGAACTCCTGTATAGCTTTTGCCCAGCTGCTCTTAATGTTCACATCTTATAGGTCTATAGTATAGTTAGCAAAACCTGGGAATTAACATTGGTATAGTGTTAGTCAGGCGGGATAATCCTTACCTGTGCCTCCTTTTGGAGGGCAGCAGAATGTGGTAGTTGGAGTTGCATGATACTTGATTCATATCTCTGTGTAATGATGGCATGCAATACCCTGACTGCTCCTTTCGAATTCTTCCTGAAAAGGGAAAAATAAAACATGAGAATAGTGCTGCTAACTACCAAATGCATTTGAATTTTACCGGTTGCCTCTAATGTCCTCTTTTTTTTTGTTCCAGGATCCCACATTACAGTTAGTTGTTATGCCTCCTTAGTCTCATATAGTCTGTCCTAGTTTTTCACGGTTTTGTCAGAATTTCTCAGACTTTGCTTGTCTTTCATGACCTTGACAGTTTGTCTTTTATTTTGTTTTGTTTTGTTTTTTGTCACCCAGGCTGGAGTGTAGTGGCGCGATCTCAGCTCACTGCAACCTCTGCCGACCGGGTTCAAGCTATTCTCCTGCCTCAGCCTCATGAGTAGCTAGGATTACAGGCACCTGCCACTGCACCTGGCTAAGTTTTGTAGTTTTAGTAGAGATGGGGTTTTACCATGTTGGCCAGGCTGGTCTTGAACTCCTGACCTCATGATCCACCTGCCTAGGCCTCCCAAAGTGCTGGGATTACAGGCGTGAGCCACGGCACCTGGCCTTTGTATGTTTTTGTAATACATGTTATAAAACGTATGACTCAAGTCCTTGACACTTTGAAGAGTAACTGGTTGGGTGTTTTGAAGAATGTCCCTTAATTTAGGTTTGTCTAAGGGTTTCTCATGACTCGAATGAGATTATGAATTTGGATTATGAGATTAGAATGAGAATATGCATTTTAGTAAGAATACTACAGTAAGTACAGTAATGCTGGTTACTTAATTAGTAAAGGTTTTAAAAATATTACATATAGAAGTTTTGCAGAAGTTAGGTATAGAAATGATGGTTGAATTTTTAATTAAAAGTCTCAAGATGCAGTATCTGGCTGTCCTAAGCTCATGGATCCAACTACATGGTTTCTTCACATTTCTGAAATAAATTATGCACTTTCCAATTCATGCTATTATGGCTTCCTTGAATGGTGTCTTCTCTGATATAATCATAAAGTTCTAGCCATCCTTCAAGACCGCAACCCACCTTCTACCTCTTCCGTAAACCCGGTGTCAACTATATCAAGTAAAGTGCTTGCTGTATTCTCTAAACTACTATTTACAAAAAAAATTCTTTCTGTCCAGGGTTTTGTCTGTAGTTATGTCCTGCCTCTTTTGAATTGTGAAATATTTTCTTGTTTATCAAATGTTTGTCTCATCTTCCCAACCAGAAAGTCAGCTCGCTGAAAATAGGATTGTGTCTTTTATATCTTTGTATCCCCCTTAGCACTTGACATAGAGCCTTACCTTGGCAGGTAAGCAATAGATATTTGTTGAAAGACTGAATTTCTAATTAGACGTAAATTACCTAAAAAGTAAGCCAGGATGGGGTGAATTTTTTCTTTGAAGCTTTATTTTATTACAGATATCAATTGAAATGATTTTAAAAAATAAATTATTATCTATATATGTATGTTTTAATCTGAAAAGGCATCGTTCTTTTTGTTTTTGGTAACAAATTTTACACATTCTTTTTTTGTCCTCATTGATTTATTATCTGATATAAGGGACATATAAGGAGACAGATATCCATCTTTAAAATTGCCTCAAAAGTTTTTTTTTTTTTTAACCACAGATAATGAAACAACCACCATCGGTTAAATTTGATGCAAAAATATTGCATCTACCAGCATTTTCAGGTAGGATCATAAAGGACTTATCGAACATGTAGACTGTCTGTATACAGATACGAATATGAAATTTATTCACAAATGGAATATTTGTATGTGAACAACTAAATTTATTTTGTCTTGACAATTGGTTATATTCTTGGGTCAGTGTTATGTGAATTGTAAATAATCTGTAATTCATTTGTGCCAGCTGTTGACATTTCTCAGCTGAGTCTGGGCTGCCCTGTCCTCTTGTGAGTGGGGAGGTTCCTGTAGATCTGGGCAAGTTTTCCTGTAGAGTGGGTGGGGGGCCTCCTCCCTTCCGTTCATAGAGCTGGTTGAATTTCCACCATTTATGGCAGGTGTAGGTGCACAGGGTTGGGGACAACAAGGAAGGATTGGGATTCTATTGGCGGGACCAGGACATTTGAGAACGGGACTAGGTGGTTCATGACTGTGGAGATGGTGTGGGAGTGGAGATACTTAAGGGATAATTATTACATTTCTGTTGAGCTAATGAAAATCTTATTTACGGTGAAAGTCAGAAATTTTTACATACCTTAAACTTTTTTTTTTTTAACAAATTTTATTTTAAGCTGTTAAACTCAATTTGGGGAAAATTATTCATTGTGGCTAGAGTAGAATCTATGATTTGAAGTAAATTTAAAATATATTTAGGTTTAAATAAACCAGCTAAGGGTTTATATCAGTCAACTTAATTAGTGATAAAAACAACCAAAAAAACCTGTGTAGAAGGACGTTTTTGAAAGACCAAAGTGAAGCAAAATATTAATAGTGCTTTCAGTGCCAAGTAGGTCTATTTATGCAAACCTAGAGAATTATTATTGGGAAATACTATTTCCTTTTTCTTCTTTGAGTTACTTAGGAAATTATATTTACAATTTCTTTGTCTAAAGATTGAGATCAGCAAAAACATGTTAGCAAAAAATTTTAGGGAGTATCACATTTCCTAGATTTTGCCCTTTTTTTATAGGGATTTGGAGGTAGGAATTTCAGGTGATTTTAGCTATCATGTTATCCTCGTTATTTTTTTACAGTAATTTCATTGGAACTTTTTAATAACTGTGTGGTTTGTGCTTTTCTCAATATCTGAGAGTTGATTTATTTATACAAAGGCTTTTTTGTCTTTTACTCCAGTTGTATTGAACTTTGCATTTTGTTATAATCTAGGTTGTGAGACAATTCTGCTTTAGACATCTGCTTGGTTTGAAAGCATAGTTTTCCATTGAAGTGTTTAAAAAGTTTCCATGGATAGATAAAGAGATGAGGAATATAGAAGGACAAATAGAAGTAGTGTCATCTTTGGAGTATTTTTGGTGTTGACAGAGTAATGTTTTCTTTGTCCTCATCTTAGCTGTCGTAACTCTGTGTTTATTTCTCATGTAATGTTTCCAGCAGTTGTTTTTCTCATCATCATACTTTTGTTATTTTCTTTCCTTGGCAATGGATAAGTTATAATTTCTGAAAGACCAAGATTGGAATGACTTTTTGTAACAAGTGTGCTCGCAGATCGACTCCAGTGAGAAGAGCTCGGGGACCTCCTGAGCCAAGCTTAATCTCCTTTGCTGTTTGTGAGTGGTGGCTGGTCACCAGGAGGTGGCCACCAGGCTCCTCCTTTCCCCACTGGTAGGCCTCTGTGACATGACTTATGCATTTAAATTTATGTTTTTTATAGAGGCTCAAACAAGTGCTAAAATAGCAATTTGATTTAACTACCATGAAAAAACTGATTTATCACGATTTTAGGTTTATGCAAATTATCCTCTGCTTAATCCTTACGTCTTAAAGTAGATAAGAGTAGACGGTGATTTTGAACTTTTTGTTGTTGTTGTTGTTGTTTGTAATACTCAGGTTTCCATTTTATGTTAACTTGTAAGATTTTTAAAAAATATGTGAAATCAGGCCGGGCGTGATATCATAAGACAGACCTTTTACCTTCTCATCAGTGACTGGAATGAACGCCTGTAATCTCAGTACTTTGGGAGGCCGAGGCAGGTGGATCACCTGAGGTCAGCAGTTTGAAACCAGCCTGGCCAACATGGCGAAACCCCATCTCTACTAAAAATACAAAATTAGCAGGGCGTGGTGGTGCACTCCTGTAATCGTAGCTACTTGGGAGGCTGAGACAGGAGAATCACTTGAACCCAGGAGCCAGAAGTCGCAGTGAGCCGTGATCATGCCATTGCACCCCAGCCTGGGCAAAAAGAGCGAAACCCCATCTCAAAAAATAAAAACAAAAAACAAACAAAAAAAAATGTGATATCATAAGACAGACCTTTTCCCTTCTCATCAGTGACTGGAATTAACTGCCCATGTGGAACGGGTTGTGGGTGTTGGTTCCTTTACTGGGTCATCTGGTAAACTGCAAGGTTTCTGCTGTGACATTGAAGGCAGACATCAACCCTCTAAGATATTTTTTTCCTATCCTCTGGGAATATTACTTTTTGGACAATCTTGGTCCATTGGTAAGCTCATGGGAATTTGTCAGAGTTTTTTTGTTTCTTTTGGCTCATGTTTAGCATCGATTGGCAGAGTGTTTGGAGTCATCCTCAGAAAGGAATTACAGTGGTTCGGAGGTGTTTTCTGTAGTGGGCCCTCATTTGGGAATTGGCTTGAAAAAAATGTAAGTTCACTTGCTTCCAGGATGGTATTAAGATTGCTTTTTTTGATAGTTGGCGTGTGTCTATCAGGTAAAGGCTGTCATTTAGAGAATATAAAGTGGTAGGAGAAACTAAAAGTACTGTTCTTAGTTTTTATTTTAATCTTATTCATATACAAGTGCCTTTGTAATTTAGCAAATATCATTTTTGGTGTACAGTATAAATTTCCTTTTTATAAAGATCTGAGTTTTTAACTTTGCTGTCACTTTCTGTGTTTCATGACTTAAATATTTTAATTTTTTCTTTTTTTACATTTACATTTTTTATTCTAGTTCCAATTGCTAATCCAGCATTTGTGGATAGCTGCAAACTGTGATATGTAAGTAACATTTACATTTTAAAAATTATTTCTCATGGTTTTATTAAGTAGTTACAGCATACATATTTATCAAAAGCAGAGTCCTAAGTAATTATCATAAATTTTTCTGATGTAATGATGAATCTACTCATAGGCAATTTTTATGGGCATTCCAATTATAAACTTTAGAATATTTAAAAATAGCCCTTCTCCTAATATAGATACGATTCTGGGATTATCTAAGCTACTCCTGGAAACTTTATTAACTGTTGTTGTTTTTTTATTTTCGTAGAGACAAGGTCTCTCACTATGTTGCCCAGGCTGGTTTCCAACTCCTGGGCTCAAGTGATTCTCCCATCTCTGACTCCCAAAGTGTTAGGATTACAGACGTGAGCCACTGCGCCAGGCTAACTGTTACTGTTTTGAGTATTGGTTATAAAATACTTCAACCCTGATCCCTGTGTATTAATTTAGTTATACTTCCTCAAAGTTTCCCTTGGGCACCCTTATCTGTCCCTATGTAGCACATAGCTTCCCTATGATGTTATTTATAATCTAATGAGATTAATTATGATTTATAAACTCCCGATGGAAGGAAGTGTCCTTACTTTTTATAGAAGCAACATACCAGGTGGAAAGCACCGTAGATCAAGTGTTAGAAGGCTCTGGGTTCCTGTTGCCTATAAGACTTGGCCAAATGATTATCTTTTTCTCAATCTCTGTTTCCTGGGGAGTGTGGGTGGGACAAGGAAATGGCATAGGTTTAGGATTCAGACAGACCTGGGTGTGGATCAAAGATCTGCTTTCTGGGCCAATTACTTTAATTGCTGAGCCGCAGTTTCCTCATCTGTAAAATTGCGATGGGATAACTACTTCATAGATTTTTGGTAATTATTCAACTTTGAATGTGGTAAATATGTGAGATACCTGGTATAGTGCCTGTTTCTTTCTTTCTTTTTTTTTTTTTCTGAGTCGGCATCTCCCTCTGTCACCCAGGCTGGAGAGCAGTGGTGCGATCTCAGCTCACTGCAAGCTCCGCCTCCCGGGTTCACGCCATTCTCCTGCCTCAGCCTCCTTAGTAGCTGGGACTACAGGCGCCCGCCACCGCGCCCGCCCGGCTAATTTTTTTCACCGTGGTCTCGATCTCCTGACCGCGTGATCTGCCCACCTCAGCCTCCCAAAGTGCTGGGATTACAGGCATGAGCCACCGTGCCTGGCCGTATAGTGCCTGATTCTTAGTGGGTATTTCATTGACAGTGGGGTTGGGGTTGTAGAAGTTGTAGTTATTATCATGAAG
The DNA here is from genome assembly GCF_000001405.40 of Homo sapiens. Lineage (NCBI taxonomy): Eukaryota > Metazoa > Chordata > Mammalia > Primates > Hominidae > Homo > Homo sapiens. The sequence goes on along the minus strand of NW_012132920.1, from coordinate 1,938,897 downwards.
CTTGCTTATCTCATGATTGTTAGGACAGGCACATGAAAAAACGGAGGTGAAAGGATTTTGTGAATTGTGGCAGTGGTATAATAATTATTCTTCTATGCTGGTGAAATATGGGTGAAACAATAGGAGTTTAGAAAATGTTTAATAATAAGGGTAATTCTTATTATACGTCTTCTAATGTTACTCTCGCAAAGTAAAATCTGGTAATAGAAAGTAGGATTTTTAGGTAATGGTTGAGCATTTAATACTTTGAGAAGGCTTATGGTATGCTCATTAAAAATGAATCAATGAAATATGTATTTAAACACTTTTATTTAAAACGTGTTATATACCTGAATGGGGTGCTCCCTGCTGACATTTTCAGACAGACATTCCAAATCATTTCCGAGAACAGTCATCCCTCTGTATCAGCCAGGAGAATGGTTCTAGTATCCCCTTGGATACTAAAATTAACACATACTGTTTTTTCCCCCACTGTTAAAAATTGAGGTTTGATTGTAAAACAGTTTTAATTTGAATAAAATGATACTGAGGTAGACAAGTTCTCTGGTAGGAATCTTCTTTTATTCTCTTTCTCCATCCAAAGCCACTTCCAGCGAGGTTTTCTCTGACCTCAGGTTATATTACCTTGATAGCATATGATAAAGGGTCCTTAACCTAGTCTGGGAGATAATTATTATTGAAGTAGATACTTAGTTTTGTTTTGCTTATAAAAAATTAGAATCACATGATATAGTTTTTTATGTTTGTTTTCCCCCATAACATATATATTATGTATTTTAAATGTTATCAACATTTTAAAATAAAATACATAATACTTAAGGTAAACGTTTTATATGTTGTGAATATCTGATCATTTTGTTTACTATTTTTGGATAGTATTATAATGTTGTAAACAACATTTTGATGAACATTTTTGAGATTAAATCTTCGTGCCCGCTTTTTCTTTTTCCCTTTAGGAAAGATTCATAGAACTAGAACAAATGGGTAGAAGGCAGTAAATATCTTTGTGACTTCTGAAAAATTGCTGAAATACTCTTTAAAAAACATTGTATCAATAGATAATCCCAGTCAATGTGTTTAAAATGCCTTTTGTTAGAACTTCCAACGTTGAGTATTTATCAAATTGTATATCCTTTTATCCTTGCCAATCAACTTTATGAGGTATAATTCATATATAGTAATAGTGTAATACTGTAACTTTAAAATGTGTTACTTGTAAATTACACATAATTTAAAATGTTCCATTTTAGCTATTTTTATGTGTACAGTGACATTTAGTTCATTCCCATTGTTGTGTAACCATCACCACTATTCATTTCCAGAACTTTTTCGTCATCTTGAACAGAAGCTCTTTACCCGTTAAACATAACTTCCCCTTTCCTTTCCCTTCCCCAGTCCTGGTAACCTATACTCTACTTATTCTATCTTGGTAAATTTGCTTATGGTGAGTACCTCATATTGCTACTGAAACATCGAGGGGTTTGGTCTAGGTCCTGTTGCTCACAGCGCAGAAAGCCAATCACGGAGACGATGAGTGTTGCTAGGGAAGAAGGCTTCAATTGGGTGCTGCAGCTAAGGAGATGGGAGATCAATCTCAAATTTGTCTCCTCGACTGACTAAAACCACGGGTTTATTTAGCAGGGAAGAAATGTAACCACGTATGGGAAAACAGGAGTTAGGGAAGGGTGAGGGAGAGGAGTTGGTCGACAGGAAGCAGGTAGTTGGTTAGGCAATTGTGATGGGTGAGGTGGTCTGGTGTCTTATGGTCCAGATGTGGTGATCTGGTAAGTTTCAGTTCCTTGATAACTATCTGGGAGGCCTGATGGTTGGTTTCCCAAGAAAGGAACTCAGATAAGACAAATGTAATTTTCTCAAGTTTTAAGACTGGGAGGGTCAATTTCTATCTTTATTTTAAAAGACTGTAAACATCAGTTCTATAGGACAATTGGGCTGGTTTCATTTGCAAGGTTTATCCATGTTGTAACTAACATGTGTCAGCATTTCATTCCTTTTTAAGGCTGAATAATATCCCTTTGTATGTAATATACCACAGTTTATCTTTTCATCTGTTGTTGGGCACTGGCTTGTTTATATCTTTTGGCTATTGTGAACAATGCTGCTATGAACATTAGTGTTTTCACACCTGATGGGTGTGAAGTTAGTATCTCATGGGTTTGATTTGTATTTTGTGACTAGTGATGTTGAACATCTTTTTTTGTGATTGTTGGCTATTTGTATATCTTCCTTGGAGAAAGGTCTAGTCAAGTCATTTGCCAATTTTTTTTTTTTTTTTTTGAGATTGAGTCTCGCTCTGTCGCCCACGCTGGAGTGCAGTGGCGTGATCTCGGCTCACTGCAACCTCTGCCTCCCAGGTTCAAGCGATCATTCCATCTCAGCCTCCCAAGTAGCTGGGATTACAGGCACCTGCCATCATGCCCAGCAATTTTTGTATTTTTGTAGAGACGAGGTTTCACCGTGTTGGCCAGATGGTCTTGAACTCCTGACCTCAGGTGATCCACCCGCTTTGGCCCCCCAAAGTGCTGGGATTATAGGTGTGAGCCACCGCACCCAGCTGGTAGATTTTTTGTTTTGTTTTGTTTTCAAGAAGGCCTCTCAGTGGCTTACCTCTGTGCCATGCTTTGGAGTTTGAGCTGTCTTCTCTTTACTAACTGTAGCTCTGTAGGACTTGGGAGTCAACCTTACCTTCTTTTTTCCTCCCTATTTTGTAGGTCTTGTTTGAGTTAGCTTTTCTTTTTATTCCAGGCCTGTAAATTTTACTAGATTGTCTCTAGGAATTTCATTTTACTAATTTGCTTCAGCCTGCCTGCCTGCCATCTCTTTTTACTAATTTGCTTCTGCCTGCCTGCCTTCCTTCCTTCCTTCCTTCTTTCCTTCCTTCCTTCCTTAATTCCTTCCTTCCTTCTTCCCTTCCTCTCTCTCTCCCTCCCTCCCATCCCTTCCTTCCCCCCTCCCGTCCCTTCCTTCCCTTCTTTTCTTTCCATTTATTTTGAGATAGAGTCTTGCTCTGTTGCCCAGGCTGGAGTGCAGTGGCGCAATCTTGGCTCACTGCAACCTCCGCCTCCCGGGTTCAAGCAGTTCTCCTGCCTTAGCCTCATAAGTAGCTGGGATTACAGGTGTACGCCACCATGCCCAGCTTATTTTTGTATTTTTAGTTCAGAGATGGGTTTTCACCATGTTGGCCAGGCTGGTCTCGAACTCCTGACCTCATGTGATCCTCCCGCCTTGGCTTCCCAAAGTGCTGGGATTACAGGTGTGAGCCACAATGCCCAGCCTCCTCACCCCTCCTTTAGCTATTATATTACTTCCTAGATTTCTTCCTCTCTATTTCACCCTTTTTCTGTTCCTGAAACCCCTACAGGATGGGTGTGGGAGTTTGTGTCTCTTGACTCTTCTTTCAAATTTTCTTTTGCTTTCTCACTTGCTCTTGTTTATTGAGATATAATTCACATACCATAAAATTCACCATTTTAATGTGTACAGTTCAGTAGGTGTCAGTATATTGAAAACTGTTCAACCATCGCCACTATCTAATTTCAGAACAGTTTTCTCACCCAGTGAAACCCAGTACCCATTCTTCTCCAACCCCTGGCAACAACTAATCTACTTCTTGTCAGCTGATTTGCTATTCTTGATATTTCATATAAATGGAATCATACAGTGTGTGGCCTTTTGTGTCTAGCTTCTGTCATTTAGCATAATGTTTTCAAGGTTCCTCCGTATGGTGGAATGTGTGAGTACTTCATTCTTTTTCTAGCTGAATAATCTTTGTATGGCTATTCCACATTTTGCTTATGTGGTCTTGATGGACATTTGGGGTTGTTTCCACATTTGGCTATTATGAATAATGGTGCTCTGAACATTTGTCCACAGGGTTTTGTGTGAACATATACGTTTTTATTTCTCCTACAGTGGTGAGATTGCTGGATAAAATGGTAACTCTGTGTTGAACCTTTTGAAGAACTGCCAAAGTCTCTTTGTTAAACTTTTATTTTAGGTTCAGGGGTACACATGCAGGTTTGTTATATAGGTGAACTCATGTTATGGGGGTTTGTTGTATGAATTATTTGGTCACCCAGGCACTAAGCTTGGTAAGGACCAATTGTTATTTTTTCTGATCCTCTCCCTCCTCCCACCCTCCACCCTAAATAGGCCCCCGTGTCGATTGTTCCCTCTTTGTGTCCATGCAAACTTTCTTCTTTTATTGCTCTTCCTTGACTTTATCTTTGAGCTCTCAAACTTGATATTTATCCCCACTCATTTTATTATTTAGGATTTCCAGTTAATTTTTTAATTTCAACAATCATATTTGAAAGTTTTTGTTCATTTTCTTTTTCTCTGATTGGTCCTTTTTCCTAGCTGCCTATATTTGGTGTATAATATACTTTTGAATTTGAGGATAAATATTAGGATTATAAAAATCCTCATCTTGGAGCAGAATTTAGAATTAAATATTGTTATTAATATTTAAGGCTAAACATTAGGATTATATAATATAAGCCTGGAACCTGGACTTTGAAAAAAAGGGAACAAAATTAGGATTATGAACATTGTATTCTTATCTCTTGAACTTGCAGGTCACTTCTTTTTCATCATGGTCCTGCTTTTTAATGCTGTTTATTTCTCAAATGCCTGGTGATCTCTGGTTCTTCATTTATATTATGAATAAATGATTAAATTGATTGGTATAGAAGTTGGCAATAGGAGTTTCCTTTATTCTTGCCTAAGTCTCTTTCTCCAATAGCTTCTCCTTTAAAGAAAGGGCTGGTATGTGGGTAGGTGAGGCCTGTTGACTGGTTGACTTTAATTTGGGATTCCAGCTGGCTGAAGATCAGTAGGCAGGCTGGAGGCCTCTGCAATTGCCAGGGTGGGTTTTTCTTTGCAGTGGAACTGGCTTTCCTCATTTATTCCCTTCCCCGCTTCGGTATCTGGAGGACCACAGTTGCTGCTTCCCACATCCATCCATCCAGTGAGCAAGGTGGATTGCTCACTGTAGGAATGATTTTCCACATTTACCCAGGAGGCCAGGGCTGCAGGGTTTATTCTGTGTACCAGGGAAGGGAGATGGAAAAGAGACAGGACCTGATTGGCTCTGCTGTTCCTTGTACAAGGACACAATTTTTCCTTGTGCAGTTGTTTAATCTGATTATTGTCCTGTGGCTCATTCTTTCTTTTTGTCTTAGTTTATTCCAAGTCCCTGAGGCTTCCTTGGGAACGTCTGTCTACCTGTGGTTCTTAGACAGGGGATTCCTTTGTTGATTCTCTGTCAGTCTTAATTCTATTTGTGCATGTCATCTGAGATTTTCTCAAACTTTCTAGTCCACTTTTAGCCCTCCTTTTTGTTTCCAATTATCATTTAATAAAAAGAGCTTGTATTTTAGAGACTCTAGAGGGTTCAGAAAAGTGAGTGTCAAGTGTTCAGTGTGCAATCATTAAAGACAGAGAATATCTCATAAGTTTGCATCTGTGTTACTTACACGATTGTGATTTAGGGATGCTTTATTTCTTTCCCTTTCCCTTTTATTTTTCCTTTTGTTTCTTTTATGTATTTTTTATTATTATTATTTTTAGAGACTCACTCTAAAAAAAATAGGGTCTCACTGTGTTCCCCAGACTGGAATGGGACTACAGGTACATGCCACCATGCCTGGCTAAATTAAATTTTTTTTTTTTTTTTTTTTTTTTTAGAGACAGGGTCTCACTTTGTTGGCCAGGCTGGTCTTGAACTCCTGGCCTTAGTGATCCTTCCATCTTGTCCTCCTAAAGTGCTGGGGATTACAGGTGTGAACCACTGTACCCGGCCAAAGTTTTTATTTTTTAATATGATGTATAAGGTTTAGAAGTGCTTTATTTTATTTATTTATTTATTTTTGAGACGGAGTCTCGCTCTGTTGCCCAGGCTGGAGTGCAGTGGCACGATCTCGGCTCACTGAAACCTCCGCCTCCTGGGTTCAAGCGATTCTCCTGCCTCAGCCTCCCAAGTAGCTGGGATTACAGGCGCCCACCACCACGCCTGACTAATTTTTGTATTTTTTAGTAGAGATGGCATTTCACCATGTTGGCCAGGCTGGTTTTGAACTTCTGACCTCAAGTAATCAGCGCGGGCGTGGGCGGGGAAGTCACTGCCTGCCTGGCCTCCCAAAGTGTTGGGATTACAGGCGTGAGCCACCATGCCCAGGAGAAGTGCTTTTAACTCCACACGTGTTTAGGTTTTTTGGTTTGTATTTGTTATTTTTACTTTTTTCCTTTTGCTACATCAAAATGAGTCCTTTATAATTTCTGCCCTAGGGAATTCTAATAATTTATCTTTGTGGTCCAATATAAAATCATTTTAAATGTATGCCATGAATGTAGTCAAGTATTGATAATAATGTAGTACTAGTAGTTTGCTCAGTCAGCACAAATTGTCAGGACACAGTGGTAATTTCTGCATGTGGATTATCTCCTGATTCTTAGAACAACATGAAACCAGGCTCATGAAAGATGAGTAATTATCCCAGGGTACTGTCTCCCTCACCTCCAATGGTGGGCCAGAGCTAGGTCCAAGACTTTGAATTCTAGAGTGTTAGACACCATCCTATGCAGCCTCCCACTGAGTAAGGGTGGTCACTGTTTGTAGGGTGTAGAGTTTGATAGATACGTCTGTTACTTTGACTTCATTAGTTTTATTTAGGATGCTTGAATGTGTGAATGTATTGATTAATATATTCGTTATTGCCTTCTCTCTGTGCTTGGAAGAGAAGAAAATTGAAGTTTACCACTACCATGGGTTTACTTTGCGTGCTTTGTTATTTGGTGTATAAAGATTCACACCTTAGATCTTCTGTAGGTCATATGGTGTTTCGTTTAAAGGGAATCTTCTTCTGAAGAGTTTAGCCTTGAATTCTGCTGAGATTTACATTGGCAATCCTGTTTGCATTTTGTTTGCCTTGGACAGCCATACTTTTATGCACTCCTTTCCTACTAATGTGTTTATTTTGCTTTTGATGTTGATATATTTGTTCAACCAACATTTTTAGATGCCCGAGTGCGCTCCAAGCACTGTCTAGGTGTCACAGTGGCGATCGGGATACAGTCCTGCCTTCATGGATCTTCTGGGCTGGTCGAGGAGACAGACAATAAACCAGTCAACGAATGAATAAGTAACTGCAAAATTTTAGTTCTGCTCTAATGTGGTAGCCATTCACTTCATGGGGGTTATTTAAATTAGTTAAATTAATAGTAGCTTACTCATTCAGCATGTATTGTCGGACACAATGGTACTTTCTGCACATGGATTATCTCCTTTGATTCTTTTAACAACATGCGGTATGTATTGTTATCGGTCCTACTTACGAGGTAACCAGGACTAGGCACATGAAAGATGACTAATTACCCCAGGGCACTGTCTCCCTCACCCTCAACTGTGGGGGTAATTTTTAAAATAAAAATTAAGGCCAAATACAGTGGCTCACGCCTATAATCCCAGCACTTTGGGAGGCTGAGGTGGGCAGATCAGTTGAGCTCAGGAGTTCAAGACCAGCCTGGACAACATGGTGAAACCCTGTTTTTACTAAAAATACAAAAATTAGCCAGGTGTGGTGACACACACCTACAGTCCCGGCTACTTGGGAGGCTGAATTGGGAGGATTACTTGAGCCCGGGAGGCATTGCAGTGAGCGGAGACTGCGCCACTGCTCTCTAGCTTGGATGACCCTGTCTCCCAAAAAAAAAAAAAAATTAATTTGAATAAAATTTGTTGTTCCTCACTTGCATGTGTCATATATTATGTGCTTGATAGTCATGTGTCTAGTGGATACTGGATTGAACAGTGCAGATGTGGGACATTTGTCAGTGCACGAAGGTTTGGTAGACAGTGGTGCCTTAGATGCCGTCATGGAGATGGGTTGGTTCTGAGGTACAGTGTCAAGTCACTGGGGGCACCTGGAGTGGTGACCTGAGAAAACCTGAATTTTGAGAAGGAACCTGTACTGTGAGGGTGTTGTCTATGGGGCATGTGGTACTTGTATTTAGGATTTTGGTAAAAAGTGACTATTCATAAGCTATTTAAAGTTTCTATTTTAAAAGTATAGGGTTTTTAGGTAGTGTGTTTTCTTTTGTTCTAATAGGAATTGTTTTGGTCATATTAGGGAAAATAATTGGCTTGTTGATACATTTTTATTTCCATTGATTAAATCTGGTAGCCATTATTTACTTTTATAGATTGAAAAATGGTTCAGTGTTTCAAAAGTATTTTGAGCTTGTCTTTGAAAAGAGATAGACAGGCAGGTGCAGTGGCTCAGACCTGTAATCGCAGCAGTTTGGGAGGCTGAGATGGGAGGATTGTTTGTCAGGAGCTCAAGGCCAGCCTGGGCATCATAGCGAGACCCCATCTCTACAAAAAGTAAAAAAATTAGCTGAGCGTGGTGGTGCACGCCTGTAGTCCCAGCTACTTGGGGGGTTGTGGTGGGAGGATGGCTTTTCCAATTATCCTACAGATATTTTTCAAAATGATTACTTTTAAACTATAATCTTTTTATTCAGAGGTAGGATGCTAGTTCTACAATTGCCTAGGTCTTCTTTAAGTTGTATATGTTAAGAAATTTTAATGGGCAATTTAATAAGTGTTGAAATTTCTAAGAATTATTTCTGTATGTTAGAGTTGTGATAACGCAGACATTTTCCCTGAAGTACTTCTCTGAGTCTGATTTGTTTTCCTCCATGGGTGCCACATAGGTTTATTTTAAGAAGGTAAAAAATAAAAGCTGACTAAGGTACATATTGATTATTCCAGACAACATGCAGACATCACCCAATGAGTGCAGTTCTCATCAACTCACCATTTGTTTCAATTAGAAAAAATTCTCATCAAAACTAATTTTTCTGCATGAAATACCTTTTCAAATCACACTGAATGTGATTTATTAATTGTGATTTATCAAATTCAGTTTTCTGCTGGATACTAAAGGCACACCTCATTAAGACTAGTGATTATGGAAATAGTACAATATTTTAGAAACTTTTGATTGTAAAAATTTCTTTTAAAATGAATACATACAGATATGTTATTGTTCAGATATTTAGCACTTACGTAGAAACTCACTGATCTACTAACAAGTAGAAAAGAGACCTTTAGCCAAATGCCTCTGTACTCAGCAATAAAATGATTAATTACTGTGTTGCTCTTTTCTCTGGTTAAGGCTTTTAACAAATTTTGTTTTTCCTTTTACTATTACACCATAACTTGTTTAAATTTTGTTGCTGTTGCAGAATTACAGCAGACATTACAGTTCATGTCTCCCTGTGTATACGAGGGAGAGTTTCTCTGGGCTGTGTACATGGGGGAGTGTGGGCCTGACCTGTCACATTCAATTTTTATTTCACAGTCTTATATCTAATGCTCATCATTGCATAATGTAACTAGCTGGGGTTAGTTTCCTCAGTCCCTGACTCTTCTCTTCAGAGCCTGTTTTCTCTCCGTTTACAGATGGGCCAAGGTTGCTCGGGTGATTGGTTTACTGGCTTCGCACAAAACTGATCTCCAGGAAAATACACCTGTTGTTGAGGTAATGTCTTTTATGACTGAAATGTGATGAATGACAAGAAGTACTGTTGTTGATTCTGTAATTTAGAACATGCGGCTTTCCTTGACCTTCACTTGACTTTTCTTTGTGGGATTGTGGAAATTGTTCAAAAACTTATCACCTCAACAGACCTTTAGGCTTAAACATAGCGGCTCATTTACAATGTAGTCCATCATTAAAATGGCACAGCAGAGTTAACAAGGCTCGTGAACCCTACTCATCATTATTTCATTTGTTTTTGAATAAGACTTGTGCATTTCCCGTTTTCTTGTAGTCTGTCCAACATTTTGTTACAGGTAATGTATTTCCTAATTAAATCATAGCTTATAATTCAAAATTCAAATTCTTCTGGCTTTTAGTGTTTTCGTATGAAAGATTACTTTCTACCTATTCTGTTAATGTATATTACACTTTATTGGTAATAGAGTGTTATACCTTGAACTGGGAGAGGCTCAAGAGTCAGTGTAGGTGAAAAGAACCAAGGCTTTTTAGGGGAAATAGCAAGAGGTCCTGAAGGAGGTTAAAAAGGGTAAAGGAGAGAGGATTTTGTAGAGCTGAAGCTGGTTGTGTGGTATTTGGGGCTTTAAGAGGAATTGGAAAACTTTCTATGTCTGTGTTGTCCACTATAGTAGCCAATTGGTATTTGGAGCCTCAAGAGGAATTGGAAACTTTTCTCTCTGTGCCATTCACTGCAGTAGCCAATTGCTGGGATAGTATACCAGCTGGCCTTACAGTGTCTGGGTGGAGATTAATATAATTTCACTGTATTTCCCTTGCTTACAATTCCATCTCTATTTCCTGCAAACTGTTGGATCTCTGAGCTACTAGTAAAATGCCACTAAGTCTAATTTTTTCCTTTTTGGGGGGCCTAAAATAAATGAATTGTTACCTATGTGATTACTGATGGTACCCAACTTGGTTCTCAGAGATGTGTCGAGTAGATTTTTATCTAAAAGATTGAGCATATAGGGCAGTATTACCAGGAAGATGAGAAGGCTTAGGATCTTAAAAATGGGGGTTCCTTCTGATGGCTCAGAGCAAAAGGTCTCCAGTGAGATGGAGTAGCTATAGAAGATGGGAGAGAACATAAAGTCCAAGACAAAGTCCCAAGATTTTAGAGGATATTCCTGCATCGTCAGAGCAGGCATTTGTTGCTCAGAAGCTGTGAAGAAAGAGCCTCTGAATATGTAAAATATGACTGTTGAATTAAATGATTCAGTAGTTGCAGTAGATTATGGATACTTTAGGAAGCTGAGTTAGTGAATTTGAAGATCAGTTGGATGAATTCTCTTAGGATTCAGAAAGAAAGAGGATAAAGATTGTGAATTAAAAAGGCATGGATGATAGTTTCAGATGTGTTCCACTATCCAGTATAGTAGCCACCAGCCACTGTGGCTATTGAGTGCTTGAAGAACAGCTAGTCTGAATTGAGATGATCAACTTATAGAAAAGAATACTATGGGCACCCTGTAATTTCCAAACCCCGTTGTTCTACTTGATCTTTTTCACAGCATATATCACCACCTGGCATTTTATGTATTTATTTCTCTTTCCATACTAGACTACAAGCTCCATTGGAACAGGGATTGTGAATTGTCTTGTTCAACACTCCACCCCCGTGCCTAGACAGTGTCTTGTGTATATCTAGATACTGACAAATATTTTGAAATAAGTGAATGAAAGTGTATCAGTATGCTTGGGACTCCCTGTAGCAGTGCCTGGAAGATGGTATGTTTTGCTGCTGCAGGAATTCTCAAGGGACTGGGCAGAGGGCATGTGAAGTAACCTGGGACCTGCTTGTCACCCTGGGTGATGTGCTGCCCTTGTTCTACTGGTACTTGCTGTTGCGGCTGCTGCACTCCCACTTGGAGAGTTTGGCCCAGCAGTTCCTGGACCATATTTGTTACTTGTGCTCACTCAGGTTGAGTTCTGTGGCCAGTTTGTATTCTCAAAGTATTTCTGCCTACTCCAGTTGTTATACTTTGTCAACGTTGTATTATTCCTGGTCCTGCCTCAACTGAGAGGAAAGGGTGGGTGTTAATTCCCGAGGTTCTTGTATCTTTGATTCCGGTACTGTTCTCTTCATGGGTGTTTGCTGATGCTTTATTAATTTGAAATGCAAGACCTTAGGGAAAATCATACTTATTTCATTTAAAAAATGGTGTGTACTGAACTATCTGGTGAACTGTTTTGAATTACACACACTGTATTGTGAACTACATTTGGTTGGATAGTAGGGAGCTTATATAATAACTTGAAATTGAGCCAGGTGCTCCTTTGTGATGCCATCTTAATTTTATTATTTCTCCACACCTTTTAGTTCTTTAGTTCGTTACTTTTAATGGCAAAATCTGTGAATTTCTTTCGCATCAACCTATTTCCTGCTGTGAGCAATTGGCTGTGATAATTTAAGGAGCCACTAGAGGTCATTCAAGCACTAGAAAAAAAGTTGTGCAAGTTTTAAGAATTTGTTTCAACTTCCAGAAGCAGGATCTGTAGAGGCTGAGCAGGTACATGGTACCATGTTTCATCTTTTTCCTGGTTTTTTAGAATTTTCTGCTACAGGATGTGTGGCTCCATTCCATTGGTGATTTTTACCATTTGAGAGGAATCAGATGAATGAAAACCATTATAGCCTCTCCAGAAAAATGCAGTCAGCACCTAGCACATGATTTCAGGGGATCTGAAAACTCTGCGGAGTCCACTGGTGAATCTTTGGTTCATAACTCCTGAGACCAGGTTTCTGTAAAACTCACAATTGGGTGCTTGTAGATAATTTTTCAGTAATCAGTAACAAAATTTCAAGTGTAAGATAAATCCTGAATTCTCTATTAGATTTACTATCAGTGAACAAGAAAAATTGTGGTTGAAGTTCCTGTAAGCATTTTATTTTTATTTTACTTATTTATTCATTTATTTTTTGAGACAGAGTCTCGCTCTGTTGCCCAGGCTGTAGTGCAGTGGTGTGATCTCGGCTCACTGCAACCTCTGTTTCCCAGGTTCAAGAGATTCTCAGCCTCAGCCCCAGCCCCACAAGTAGCTGGGACTGCAGGTTCATGCCACCATGCCCCGCTAACTTTTGTATTTTTAGTAGAGACAGGGTTTCACCATATTGGCCAGGCTGGTCTTGAACTCCTGGCTTCAAGTGATCCACTTGCCTTGGCCTCCCAAAGTGCTGGGATTACAGGTGTGAGCCACTGCACCAGCCTGGTACTTTCTAATATTTTGGATGCTTTCTTACTTGCTAAGCACTTTCTCTTACCTGGAATGTTTTTTACATTACCCCCTCCCCCAGTGATCTAATTTCTACTTTCTCTTTAAAGCCCAGCTAACATTCCATTTTCTCCATCAGGCCTTCCCTAACAGTCCCAGAACTCCTACATTGCCTGGTGTGCTGACCTAAAGCCCTCATTAAGACCAGTAACAAATCAAGCCTATCTTATCAACTGACAACACATTCTGGAACCATGGCGTGTCCATGGATAAGACATGAAGTCCTTCTTTCAAGACTTGGTTTTCTGGTACTGGAAAATACCAATATGGATAAAAGACCTTCAAAGCTGCTACGATGGGTAAGGAACAATGCACACAGTATACCATTAAGGCAAAGAAGATAGTCTTAATCCTGTATGAAATGCCAATGAAGATGTAATTAATGAATAGACATTTCATTGAAATGAAATCAAAAGACATTTTCCTTCTCTGACATAACAGAGTAGAACTCTCTAGTAAGAACACAAAACTGACCAGCCTGACCAATGTGATAAAACCCCCTGTCTCTACTAAAAAGACAAAAATTAGCCATGCATGGTAGCAGATGCTTGTAATCCCAGCTACTCAAGAGGCTCAGGCATGAGAATCTCTTGAACCCAAAAGGTGGAGGCTGCAGTGAGTCGAGATCGCACAACTGCACTTCACCCTGGGCGACAAAGCAAGACTTTGTTTTTTAAAAAAAAGAAGAAGAAGAGAAAAAGAAAAAGAACACAAAACTCTGGTTACTGCTCTATGAGAATTAAGTGAATGTGAAGGAGAAGTTGGAATAATATTACAAGTTGGTGAAATATTGGAATTCTGGTCTGTTGGTGATTGGTCTTCATCTTTCCTATAAGAGATAGCTCATTACACAATGTATTCTCATTTGTCTGAACGGGATTATTTCCCTTAAGGCGATGGCCTCTTCTGCATCTTTATGTCTCTAATGTCTAGCATGGGAACTACTCAATATATATTTCAGGTTGTTGACAATGATTGCTGCTGTCTATTCCATCTAGGTAAGGGTTTTTGCATTCAAAAGGCCCTTTGCCTTAAGACCTAAAGAGGTTTTGGAACATCAGCAAGCATCCATCTCGAGGTAAATAACTGGAATCCCAATGGGCTGTGTGTGTGTGTCTGTGTGTGTGTGTGTGCGCGTGCTAACTGGAATCCCAGTGGGGTTTGTGTGTGTGTGTGTGTGTGTGTGTGTGTGTGTGTGCTAAATGGAATCCCAATGGGGTTTTGTGTGTGTGTGTGTGTGTGTGCGCTCATGCCTGCATACACATGCGTGCACTTCTGGTACATTTTGAACAGGCATCAGATTATGTTCCCACAGCCCCTCTTCATCAAAATGAAGACCTTGTACGTCTGAAATACAGTTTGTGAAAGTCAAATTGTTATCCCTGTGACATAGAACAGCCGTTAAAAATGTATTTCACTGGAATGTCATTCTAAATGAATATTTTTAAATAGATATCCAAAAATAAGAAAATACAGTGATTTTAGTGTAATAAAACTGATTTCACAATTGTTTCAAGAAACTCGGAAAATAAAACTTCAAACTGGAAAAATGTGGCCATAAGAATGCATGGAGCCGGACGCGGTGGCTCATGCCTGTAATCCCAGCACTTTGGGAGGCCGAGGCGGACAGATCACGAGGTCAGGAGATCGAGACCATCTTGGCTAACACGAGGAAACCGCGTCTCTACTAAAAAATACAAAAAATTAGCTGGGCGTGGTGGTGGGCGCCTGTAGTCCCAGCTACTCGGGAGGCTGAGGCAGGAGAATGGCGTGAACCTGGGAGGCGGAGCTTGCAGTGAGCCGAGATTGAGCCACCGCACTCCAGCCTGGGCAAAAGAGGAAGACTCCGTCTCAAAAAAAACAAAAACAAAAACAAAAAAAGAATGCATGGAGTTAGTTCATTCTTCTCGCCCCCTGGAACTTCTGATCAAAAGTCAATACCTTTGTGACCTACAAGTCTCTTTATTTGCCCTCCATTATAGACTGAGCTGTTAATAACATTTAATGAGCTCACATGGATTCACTGGCTAATAAAGAAGAATAGAGTTGAGGACATTGCTGCCCTGTTTATGCCCAAAAATTACCCTAAACTGAAAGTTGCTTTGTGTTCCTTCACTCCCCTCTGCTGGTAAATTTTAATATAGTTCTTAATTTTTTTAAGTCAAATTGATAGAAACATCAATTGTGTTTTTAAAACTGTAAGAAAAAATAATGTTGAACATCACAAAAATGTACTCAATCTTTCCCAAAACCCATTTCTTTCCAGTTAGTTTTCATAACTGTAGGTTCTTAAAAAAAAAAAAAATGAACACTTTGGCCGGGTGCGATGGCTCATGCCTGTAATCCCAGCACTTTGGGAGGCCGAGGCGGGTGGATCACGAGGTCAGGAGATCGAGACCATCCTGGCTAACATGGTGAAACCCCGTCTCTACTAAGCCAAAATACAAAAAATCAGCCAGGCGTGGTGGCGGGCGCCTGTAGTCCCAGCTACTCGGGAGGTTGAGGCAGGAGAATGTTGTGAACCCGGGAGGCGGAGCTTGCAGTGAGCCAAGATCACGCCACTGCACTCCAGCGTGGGTGACAGAGCAAGACTCCGTCTCAAAAAAAAAAAAAAAAATGAACATGTCATCCATACTTCTAAGGTGTTGTAAAGATGTGTAAAGTTTTCACTTTTTGCATCATATTCACATGTGGCTATATGCCCTTTTCTCTTCAAAGTTTTCTTTATCTTGATTACTTATCAGAGGCTTGACTGTTTTATTATCTCAGTCTTTTGAAAGAATCCTCCTTTAGTTTTATTTTTTAAATCTAGTGGTTTTTCTTTTTCCTTTTTCCTTATGTCTTAATTATTTCCCCCTTTTTGTTTGTTTTGCTTTTCCCAGTTTAGTGGATCAATGTAATTTAAATTGCTTTTTAAACAAACATATAAGGGTATACATTTTCGTTGGGTGCTGTTTGACTTTGTTGCACAAGTTTTAAAATCTATTTTTTAATAGTTTGTATTTTCTAAATTATTTTATTACAACTTTTGTTCACATTGCTCTTACTATTAATTTTTTATTTTTATTAATTAATTAATTAATTTATTTATTTATTGAGATGGAGTCTTGCTCTGTAGCCAGGCTGGAGTGCAGCGGCATGATCTTGGCTCACTGCAAGCTCCACCTCGGGGTTTCATGTCATTCTCCTGCCTCAGCCTCCCAAGTAGCTGAGACTACAGTTGCCTGCCACCCCATCCGGCCTTTTTTGTATTTTTAGTAGAGATGGGATTTCACCGTGTTAGCCAGGATGGTCTCGATCTCCTGACCTCATGATCCACCCACCTGGGGCTCTCAAAGTCCTGGAATTACAGGCATGAGCCACTGCACCCTGCCCAAAAAGCTTTGTGTTTTTACAGATATTAGACATGTTTCTTGTTTAAGAAAAAAAATCTTAACGAAAACGCAGGAGAATAAGAGAAACATTTTTCCAAAAAAGAGAAATCATTGTGATTATTTTATCTTATTAGAATGTTGGATAATATAGTCTGCTTCATTAATCATCAAGCATGCTATGCATTTTCCATTTTTATAGGATCTGTATCTCAGTTAAGGTAATACTGGTAATTTTTGTACTGTAATCAAAGATGAAAAATATAGGCCAAAATCATAGACCTTGCATAGAAGCTGGATAATGAAGACAGCTAAGGAGAAAAACATAGATACACACACACAGACACACATATATATAAAGTATACACACATATATTTTTTAAAGTTTTAAAGCTTTTAAAGCAAAAGCCGGCCCCTCTTCTCTTCCAGAGTGGGAGGCCTCTCCCCTCTCTTAGAGTGGGTGGGGAGAGCGGTTGCCATGGGCAGCTTTCCTTGTGAGCCACAGGGCCCTCTGGACACACTGCTTTCTGGCCACGCCCCCTTTCCTTTTCATCTTTCTCATTGACCAATGGGCTTGGAGCATTAAGGCCACGCCCCTATTCCGCATTCTACTGGGGCCCTGGTTACGCCTCCTCTGGCTCACTCACACAGCTGCCTGGTAGGTGACTGGAGGCCTTGATTGGTTCTCATTGAGATTTTGCTGCTGTGACCCCAACCCTGCCTCCCTCCCCACCCTGCGATGGCAGAAGAAACTCAACACAACAAATTGGCTGCAGCCAAGAAAAAGGTAAAAACGCACTAGGTCATAGACCCTCAACCCAGCCACAGATCCCCTCTGATGACAAGACCCCTGCCAGAGTCTATACGACTCCTGAGGCACACTGGACTGGTCCCCCCTACCCCGGTGCCTCTGGGCTACCCCCATCAAAGTTTTGTCAGTCAGCCCCACCCCTTCAGCAAGCAGCCCAGTCCTTGCCCTCGCCAATCACCCCAGGGTGACTTTGGGTGGGTGACTCCTGGGGCTTCCCGCTCCATTACTGGGCCCTCATCTCCTGCCGCCCCAAGCTTGATCTCCCTGGGCTCTTTGGGCTCTCATCTCCAAGGAGCCAGGCCCCACCCTCGCCAGTCATCCCTGGGTGACTTTGGACTGGTGACTCCTGGGACTCCCTGCTGCAGACTGTGCCCTCCCCTCCTGCTGCCTCAAGGTCGACCTCCCTGGGTTCTTTGTGCTGGCGTCTCCAAGGAGCTGGGTCCCAACCCTGTGCTTCCCTCCCCCATCGTGGAGCAGCGACTTGGACATGGTGCTGACATGGTCCCTCCCCCCGACCAGGAGGAGTGGAATGTTGTGATGTCACAGTCCACCTAGTAACTGCTGTTACTGCAAGACTGGCCTTTGATCTTACGACCCAGTCCCCTAAGCGTTCTCACCCCGTTTCTGGTTCCTCTGGTCACAGCACAAATTTCCAGCTGGAAGGGGAATGGAGACTATGGGACCTAGGAGCAAGAGGTTCCAGGCTGCCTCACTCCCTTACAGATGTTGACGGTGGGAAAAGCCTACACTTCCCCCATGAACTCAAAACGTTGACAGTATCTCTGGGTGGCAATGAGAGAATGGGTTTGATTTGGTTTTCTCCCAGGCTTCTACTTTCCAGAGAGATTTTAACATTTTTTTCTGAGTTCTCCACCTCATATTCTAATTCTCCATGGTTCTGGGACCAGACTCTCCTTCAGTCAGTGGTCTCTGAAGTGACATTTGCTCATCTTCTGTGGAATAGATCTTGGGAAACTGAACTTGACACCTTGAATCTTCCTCATATTATCTCAACCTTGGGTACTTTGAGTGCCACAGGATAAATGTGGGACATCTTTCTGAAGCATCAGTTTCCCTTGATTCTCTTGAGATCAAGAGAAAAAACATGAATGTACTTAGGGATGACAGTCACATAGGTTTCTAAGAGTATACCAGCCCTCTCTCTGAAATGAGGCTTGGGTTGTCCTCTTTCTGATAAATTCTGATTTAAGAGAAAGGCTGCCTTCTGCCATGAGGACACATTGATATAAGAGTTTGAGAGGTACTGGTGCACTTCTTCACACTAACAGACGTGTGAGGATGTATGACTCTAAACCACATGGCATACAGTTCCTGCCTACTTAATGTTTACTTTTCTACCTCTGCCTCTGGTTTTGGTCCCTGGCAGCTGCTGATTCTTGGCAAAACCTCAGAGCTTGGAGTCAGAAGACTGAGTTTCAAAGTTCCAGTATTGCCTTTTTCTTTTTTTTTTCTAGCCATGATATCAATCCTTCTCAGTCACTAAATGAGTGTGACAACACCTTGTACGGTTGTTGGTGTCATTAAATCAGATGGTGTGTAAGTGTATTTTGTAAAAACTGTAAAGGAGGATGTGGCTGCAGGGGCTGACGGTTCTCATGAGTATTACTGCTCTTCTTTCCAACAGTTAAAAGAATATTGGCAGAAAAACAGCCCTAGAGTTCCAGCAGGAGCGAACAGGAACAGGAAAACAAATGGCAGTGTCCCTGAGAAAGCCACTTCTGGTGGTTGCCAGCCACCTGGGGATGTGAGTCTTGGCTGACCAGGCTTCTGGGGACAGGGGGCCCAAGGGGCAATAGAGGGTAATTCTTAAGATTGTGGATGGACTGCTGGGTACTGGTTAAGAATTCTGGCTTTAGCCGGGTGTGGTGGCCCACGCCTGTAATCCTAGCACTTTGGGAGGCCAAGGCAGGCGGATCATGAGGTCAGGCGATCGAGACCATCCTGGTTAACACGGTGAAACCCTGTCTCTACTAAAAATACAAAAACATTAGCCAAGCGTGGTGGCGTGTGCCTGTAGTCCCAGCTACTCAGAAGGCTGAGGCAAGAGAATGGTGTGAACCTGGGAGGTGGAGCTTGCCGTAGCCAAGATTATGCCACTGCACTCCAGCCTGGTGACAGAGCAAGACTCTGTCTCAAAGAAAAAAAAAAAAGGAATTCTGGATTTGAATCCTGCCTCTCCATCTGCTCTGCTAGGGATATGATTTAGGGCAAGTTGCTAGACCTCATCGGGCCTCTCTTTTCACATCTGTATAATAGAGGTGATATTGTTTCACTTCCATTTGTGAAATTTTCATGAGATTTGTTATTGTTGTTTTTATGTTAATCCCTAGTACATGGCCTGCTGTAAACACTCAGGACACCCAGGATATGGTTTGATTTTCCTCATCCCCAGTCTCAAGGGGAAACCAGGACAAAGAGAACAGCCACTTGCCATCAGGAGTCACTGAAGGGGCCCCAGGATGGGATGGTGGGGAGATAAGAACCATGAGAGAAGTTGGCACAAAGGAGTTATGGGACAAAAGGTCCAAGATAGGCAGAAAAGAAAATGTTGCCAGTTGATGGGGAAGAAAGGAAGTCAGAGGGCTCAGACACTGTGGGGGACAGAACATCTCCATGTGCACTCTCATCTCTTGTAGTCAGCAACAGGTTTCCACAGGGAAGGCCCTACATCATCTGCTACCCTGAAAGATCTGGAGGTAAGAGGCTCTGGGCAGAGGTGCAGTGACCCTTCGGGTCAACCCTCCAACCTCCTCCTCCAGGTGGGACTGGGTGCCCCTCTGCCAGCTGAGACAGCCCACACACCCCAGCCCTAATGATTGTTCTCTCTACCTCTCCCCCCACTCCTGCTCCACCTCCTCCTCTCTGCATGCACCTCAGAGCCCGTGCCAAGAACGAGCAGTAGTCCTGGATTCAAGGTCCGTAGAAATCAGTCAACTGAAGAACACCATCAAATCTCTGGTAAGAGTCCACTGGGGTCCCCTGATTCCACGCTGCCAATCCTGGGCTCCAGTTTCCCCTTGGGGCCCTGAAGAAAGGGGCTGGGGGTCCCTGGTGCCTGGGACAAATAGGGAGCTTGGGTGCCCAGGCCTCACCTGGAGGGACCCCAGAGCATGCAGCATGGCTCTTCTTTTGCTGCCCTCTTTGCCGACTCTCTCCTCTCCAGACACCCCTGCTCGAGTCCTTGCTACACACGCCCTGGGGTTGTTGCCTCTTGGGGAAGTGCTAGCCTGACTGGTTGTCAAGGGCCCCGTATTTCTGCCATGACTCAGTCCCTAATTTGCTCTTTGATTCTGGACAAGCCACCTCTCCTTTTTGGGCTCGTGTTTCCAGAGGAGGTAGTGAGTATCAAAGGTCTCTGTTAGCTCTCGAGTCTGAGATTTAAAGGCCCCCTAGAACGGAAACCTCAGGGCTAAGGGCTCCTGTCTGTCCTTTTCCATCCTATATCTGCTGTAAAGAACCGTACCTGGTCCATACATGCTCAGTAAATGTTTATTGAATGAACCCACTTCTCTAAATCACAAGTTGCCAGAAGGAGGGGCCTTTCTGAAACTCCATCTCTAGAGGTTTATATTGCTGTCCTCTCAAGAGATTCCAGATTCAGACTTTGAGTTCTGTGGCTGTGGGCAAAAGCCAACAAAGACCCAAATCCTCTGTCCTTGGGAGCTTGAGGAGAGTTTACCGGTTCGTGTTCCCATTATGTCTGAGAACTTTGCCTTTAAAATCCATTCCTGGCCCCTGCCTACCACTTCCTGGTCTGGGGAATAGAGTTGAGGGGGCCACCCTCCATCACCTTATTTGACTCTCCCCACAGAAACAACAGAAGAAACAAGTGGAACATCAGCTGGAAGAAGTAACGTGATTTCGTTTCCTCGCAACATGACTGCTGGGTTTGGGGGGCACTCAGACATACAGGCCCCAGTCTCGTCTCACCCACTCCCAGCCTGGGGATGAAGGCTCACCCTTCAGATTCCACCCCATCCCCACAGGGCCCCTGATAACCTGGTCCCATGGGTGGGCCTGTCCTGGGGCATTGGTGGCATTCTGGGGGCATGTCTCTTGCTGTGCCATCTCTGCCTCCCCCTGGTAAGAGCTCTGTCTTCTTCTTCCTACAGGAAAAGAAAGCAAACAACAAGAAACAGAAAGCCAAAAGGGTGCTAGAGGTGAGTGGAGGGTGTGCAGTTTCCTCCTGTCCTCCGGAGAATGTTTCTTTCCTTCTCTTTCA